>NC_000013.11:79172309-79325149 GCF_000001405.40 Homo sapiens | reverse complement strand
AATTGTGCGTGCCATACTTTTATATGACTGGACTGGCAGCACAATCGGTTTGTTTACACCAGTATCACCATGTGAGTAATGTATTATGATAGTTATAAGGTCACTAAGCAATAGGAATTTTTCAGGTTTATTAAAATCTTAGGGGACCACTTTTGTATATAGTCATTGTTGACCAAAACATTGTTCTGTGGTGGCTGACTTTATGAGGATTTTAATGGATCACAAAGGAGTTGTTTTAAATCAAGGAATAAAACAAGTTATTCAGTAAATGATGTTGGGGCAATTGACTAGCTATTTGGAAAAAAGACAGCATTATGTCTTTTTTAAATATCCAAATAAATTAAATTGGATGAATTTTTTTTCTTTTTTTAATACATAAAACATTTAATACATGCTACAAAATTCTTTTTTTTAAATAGTAAAATCCTAGGGATTTAAAAAAAATAGTCTTAATATTGAGAGGGCTTTTTAAGGTATGGCACGATATTCATAAAGGAAAATATTGGTAAATTCCAGTACATGAAAAATTTAAAACTTGTTGATGACAAAAACAAAAGAACAACAACAACCCCTTTCTCTCCAATAAAAGGTGCATCATAAAATCAAAATCCAATCGGGGAAAATATTTTGCCCAAAATATCACCAAACTTCATTCAATTAGAAAAATACAAGCAGGCCAGATTGTGAAAAAAGTCAAACATTTCACTTCTAATAGAAAGTCACACAAGATGTACAAATACACAAGATTGTTCATATCTGTAGAAATTGCTTTAATTATGCTAAATATATAATATATATGGCCATTCAAGAAAAGTGACATTTATTGGTATGGACATCGAGAGATATTTATGAAAAGAATTGGGTTAATAATTTAACCATGAAGTTATAAACTAGTATGTTTCCGTATACATACCATACATATTTATATACAGAAGTTCTTTCAGTATGTGTGTAGAAAAATATATGTAGGATTTAACTCCGAATTCCTCACAGAATAGTGGTTATCTCTTAGGGCTAGGGATAATCATGGACTGCTTTTTTACATTACGTGGCCTGAAATTTTGAATCTTTGTAAAAAGTGAAATGGGTGGGTTACAGAAGGAATTGTTTAAACTTTAAAGATTTTATGTTGCAATTACCTGAAATATTGGTTTCTTGAACTTTTCTAATATAAAACAATAGTTTTATCAAAATGAAAGTAATTATGGAATATGTTTCTTATAACATCAGAAGTTCTTAGTTTTCCTGAGTAAATTTACATCTTTACAAAGCAAAAACTCAGTTCTTTCAAAAATTTACACAGCCTAATTCTCAAGTTTGTAATGGAGCAATGTTAATAAAAAGTTTGTAAATCATTTTGTAATTAAAGTTGAAACTTTAGAAAGTTGTAGCCTCATCTTATAGATTTGAGGAGCTGTGTGCTGAATATAGAGATGTGTAAAGTTAGATCATCAGAAATTTTTGTCAGTAACTTATTTTTGAAAATGTCAGTAACTCTTTTGCTTTTTAGGTGAATTTTTTTT
This sequence comes from Homo sapiens, assembly GCF_000001405.40. Classification (NCBI taxonomy): domain Eukaryota; kingdom Metazoa; phylum Chordata; class Mammalia; order Primates; family Hominidae; genus Homo; species Homo sapiens. The sequence continues at coordinate 79,323,626 of NC_000013.11, read as the reverse complement.
AGCTGAATGTAAGGATGAGTTTTATGAGTAGGTATTTTGCATTAAACAGTTGGAATTCCTTATAGAATATGATACATTTTTATGTAACAGTGATAGCTTCAAAAAATTGCAAATTGTCCTGGAACTAAAATACATATAAGTACTTTTTAAAAAAATTCTAGTTGTATGACATTGTGACAAAAATTCTCTGAGCAGCATTTGAACAGGCATGAAATCTTTTAAATTTATCATAAATTTATATGTGCAGGTTTAAAATTTATACCTGGGGATTTTAATACCACACAACTTATGTCAAATATCATTGAATATGTAATTGTTTCTACATTTCACATTATGCTGTACTTTGAGATTGTATTATAAATCTTGTGTGAGTATAAGTTATTTGGCAATATGTTGCTAACACTGATTTACCTTAGTTCATGTTACTCTAATTTGAATGCAGTTTCCAAACCAGCCACTTAATATAGCAAGTACTTAGACATGACTATTTTTTAAGTTCACGTTTTATATTCAGTTATAAAAGTTTGGTAGGAAAAACTGTTTTTCAATAGAAGAGTTCAGAGGGGTTTTTTTTCCTTTCATTGAGACACTTATATTTTGTTTTAGTTTTATAATAAACATTTTATGGTAGTTGGTCATTTGATGTAATTTGAAAATAATATACTTTACACATGCAAAATTATTATTAAAGATTAATAATTATATACCATTTGTAAATGAACAGTAATTGAAATAAAATATATTTAGCATATTGATCCTAATTTAGACATTGATTCAGACATTAAAACTAGGATCTTGAAGTACCTTGGGATTGTCATCTTAAACAGCAGTTGTCATTGTGTTATAAACATGTAGACATATTTCTTTTAGTCAAATATTGGCCAGTAGTGAAATAGCTATATTTTATTATGAGAAATTATTCTTGTTTTCTTTTTAAAGGAATTTGCAATTACTAGTCTGATTGTAGGAGTAAATAACCATAAAAAGTAAAGTGTAAATTATAATAATAGTAAATTGAATAGTAAATAATCAAAAAGCAAATGGGCAGATAGCCATCTTCAGTTGTCTTTAGCTATTTTAATTTTAATGTTAGGCACTATGACATTTATTTTTTTCTTCAGAAATTTTTAATGTCTTATATTCCAATATTTTTAATCATTTTAGGCTGCAGTTCATGGAGCTCGTTTCAAAGGGCAAGATCTAAAACTGGCATGGAATAAACCAGTAACTAATATTTCAGCTGTTGAAACAGAAGAAGTTGAGCCTGATGAAGAAGAAGTATGTTATTTTTTTTCCACTTATTTTTACCCTTAATCGTTCATAGCTTTTATATAAAATGTGATTTTTATGGCCGTGATTTTAACATAAAACTTTTATTCCTGACCCATAGTCCAGGCAGGGGATATCAGATAAATGCAAACAACTTTAAATTTTCTGGATAATGAGAAGAAATGTGGATTGCTAATTCAAAAAGAATATATGAAAATCATATATATATACTCAATTTTTATTTACCCTTAGAGACAATGATTATTCATTAGATTTTTATCCACAGGAAATCTTGTAATATTTTAAGTTTTAGGATAATCTATTCTCAGTTGCTTTATTAACATTTCAGCTTTCCTTTATTTTAATTCATTTATCATTTTAGTCATTAGAATGAATGCCTGTTATATGGTAGATACTGTCATAGGCACAAAAATGAATAAGACACGGTCCCTATCTATCATCAAGGAGCTTATAATCTGAAAAGGGGGGTGGTGGCAGACACATAAGAAACTAGTTACAATAAAAGGCAGACTGATAACGCTGAATAAAGATTTGAACAACATGCTCTGGAAACTCAGAGGAAGGAGTGATTGTTTCCATCCCAAAAATTTTAAAGGAGGTATTGATAGTGGAACTGGGCCCTAAGCAGTAAAACAGCTTCATAAGCTAGAACTGGAGCTGGTAATATAATTGAGAGGTATTTTAGATGGAGGGATAAGCATCAGGAAAAATGAAAGTGTGCATTTTTCTTTGAGTAACAGCAGTTAGTCTGATGGCTAAGAGGTACGGGCCAGTGAAGTGTTAGAGGCCTTTGAAACCAAAAACTTAAAAGTAAGCAACTCTTACTTAATCACAAAATAAACTTTAGGAAAAAGTTTAAGTTAATAAATAAAGGTAAGGTGGGAAAACTAAATAATTCCATGTTTTACCTTCATAATGGCACTTCATTTTGTTTGAAGAGCATTTCAAGGCTGTTATACATATCCATAGTCAAATGCAAGAATAAAAATGTATATTTTGAAACTCATATACATGATTTGTCATTTTATATTTTAGATTATACCTTTGTCCTTCCATGAGTTTGAATTGAATGGGGAGAAAAGCAGGAGAGCTCCTGGTATTAGGTATTTTGAAAAGTTTGAAATAGCAGTCTGAGAAGTGTTTATGAAGGGAATGGGGAAAAGAAAGGAATGCAATAATAGAAAATGTTTGTTGCATACAGCAGAAAATAAATATAAATATAAATCTTGGTAGAATTTTATACAAGTCATTGGTTGATTTTAGTATTCAAGGTTAGGAGGGTAAATTAGAGAAAACTTACTGTTTTCTTTTTTAAAAAGTTTGACCAATATTTTAAAGGTACAGAAGATGGCGTAATTTGCTAAAGAGAGGCAGGAAAAAATGGCATGTACAAAGGCTTTATTTGATATTTGTTTAGTGTGTTTCATGCAAGCAATAGAATAGATCATATAGAGAAACCATTGAGTGGTTAAATGTTGCTTTTCTTTGTTTTGTGAATGTTCTAGCTATAAAAATACCTTTTGTATTCAACTCTGTTGAGAGAGATGAGTATTTAAAAGTGTCACCTTTTTTTTCTTTTCTTTTTTTTTTTTTTGGGTAAATTCCTAAATACATTTTAACCTAAAGTTTCAGGAAGAGTCTTTGGTGGATGACTCATTACTTCAAGATGATGATGAAGAAGAAGAGGACAATGAATCTCGTTCTTGGAGAAGATGATTTGACTGATCATTGATCTGCATATGCTAGAACTCTACCTGTGTTTCATTAGTATTATCTAATGTACTTTTACATATTTGTAAAAACAATTTTTGGTAAAATGTGATGAAGATGGATTTCACAAATAGACAAAAAAGAAGAAAACTACCTTCTGATCTTGTATTTTGAAAGATTGATGTTTGCATTTTACTTCAGTAAACAATTGCTAAAGACATCACACTAGAAACATATGCAATGTTTTTATTACATACTTCTACTGGACATCACAGAATTCTTTGGGTTCTTTGTAATTTAATGAATAGGTCTGAAAACTTATGACCAATACTTGTTATAACTTAGAGGACTTTGTTTTATTCCAAATAAGGAATGAATTTGCATTTAAAATCTTAATGAATGTTTTCAAAACTGAATAGATAACATAGTACTCTAACTAAAGTCTCCAAGTTATGTATTATAATATTACATAGTAGTATGCTTAGGCTTTACTATGTATTAGCCTTTTGTTGGACTGTGTATGTATTTTACCATATGGGTTTTAATGATAATGGTGTATGACTGCTTTACATGAGTCCTTATGCATCCAGATGTTATAATAAAGTGGAATGGTCTCTTTAAAAAAAAAAAAGGAAAGAAAAGAGAAAAGCAATGACAAAAAAAAAAAAAAAAAAAAAGCCAAGACAATGTTCCTTGATTTAAAAAAAAAAAGAAAAGAAAAAAGAAAAGAAAAAAATTAAAATAGACCATTCCAGATGGTGATCTACCCTTCCCCCCAATTATCACAAAAGGAGCTATAATCACTAACTTATTCTTAATAATAATGGTTACTGGTACCCTTACAATAATGTACAATCCAATGTTTAAAAATTATACCACTTGAGTTTGGTTTGATCCTATAAATTTTCAACAAATGTCTTAAAATTTAAAAGCAGGCTGATTAGTTTGGAACCAGACTGCAAGTAGAGCTAACATTTGGTGAATAAGAAAACATCACATTACATTTTGGATGTATGAAAGAAAACTTGACCATTTGAAGATATATGAATAAAGAAATGTACTATAGATACTACTTTAGGAAAACACTGTTTGGTAAGTGTTCCAGTCTGATATTTTAAGTGTGTACTTCCTATACTTGTATAAAAATCTTTGATGTTTGCAACAATACTGTGATTTTTTTAAGTGGATTTCTTTTGCAAGTGAACATGATCATTGAAAGTTGATATGGCAGTTTCCAGGAAATAAATGCATTCTTTGTAGAATGGGGGTGGGAGATTACATATTTATATTTTCAAATTCATCATTTTGATTGCAAGTGTTTCTGCCTCTCTTGAGATTATAGTGATAATATTAAAAAATCACATTTAAAAAATTACTTTCTTCCATATTGGGGTCCTCACAATCAAAAGCTGTTGTTCCACCACCACCATAGTCTTCTGCCAGTGGAGTAACTTAAGGATGCTGTTCTTTTTCTTCTTCCCCATACACCCCTAATTGGGGTTGAAGTTGTGTGTATTTTCTTGATGGTAACACTATTTCATAGAAATGCTTTGCCTTGCAATTCGTGTCTACGTTTATATTTAAAATTTCAAAATCAGATTTCAGTTGTCAAAATAGTGACTTTGCTCAAAAAGTCACTATTTTTACTTATATATTTAAATCAAAGATCTATTTTTATGTAGTCTCTTGTATGTTGACTATGTGCTATTCTGATTCATTAGGTAAGTTTGTTTTCTTTTCTTTTTAGTAGTCGTGAAAGGTGCCAAATTGGCAGAGGCTCACGTTTCTTCTCTTTACACCAAACAGGTATTACAAAGAAAGTAAATCTTTCAAAGGCCAGTTAAATCTCCATGCTGATTTTTGGCTTTATAATTTGATTAGTATGTTTTAGCCTGATATTTCAAAAATTATAAAATTCCCTTACAATGTAACTGAAAATACATATTCTGTTTATTTCAGTCCATGAATAGCTAATCAGTTTTCCTAGAACTTAAAATGTTTTAAGCCATGTTGCTTTGAATGAATCAGAAGACAAATATATTTCAGCGTGATCCCAAAGAATGGAGATTAAATCTTACCAACATTAATTAGGTTTACAATTATATTATTCATAGTATTAATATTATTTTAATTATAAATATTACTTAGTATTAAGTTGCTACTGAATTTTTTACTTGTTTATAAATACTAGCACTCTACATGTACTTTCATATGTTTTCATTTAAAACTTAGGAAGGAGTTGTTCATTTCCATTTTATAGATAAGGAAACTTAGGCTAATAGAGATGGAATGATTTGCCCAGTCATAGCTAGTGGGTGAAAATAGATTTGAATGCAAGCATTCTGATTTCAGTGCCAATTTTTTTTTTTTTTAACTCTACGTTGATGCTGCTGCTTTCCTAATTATTGATGGAGTGGAACATGAGATTGTGTTTATAGTAAATATGGTAGTTCTTGCCTCAAAGATACTGCACAAAATTAGCAGACTACTTGGTCATTCGCCAGTTCATACTTATACCCTCCCTTTTAATACAGCACTTTGTTCATATCTCTGTTACAGTACTTACATTGTAATATAATTTATCTGGTTTATGTCTGTCTTCCCCACTAGATTACAAGCTCCTCTAGGAAGGTGGACCATGTCTTATTCATCATTTTATCTTTAGTGCTTATCACAAAGCCAGGCTTATAGTGGGCACTCAAATGTTTGTTGGATGAATTAATGAATGAATGAATGCATATTTAAATATCCAATCATAGAGTGACAAATACCTCCCTTGTTAATTCTTATCAATTTTCCAAAAATCTCTTGAAGATCTCCTCAGTCACTGGGAGCATTTTGCTAAGCAATTGATACAGTTTGAGTTTGTCACTTGTGGGGTTACAAGTACTGATGGAGGTATACACATATGTAGGCTTAGTGGAATTTCCACAACATTTAGTAAGGCATTAATATTTTGGACTAATAAATGTTGTCTGTTTCAGAGGTAAAATACACTTTTGGTTTCTGTCAGTGTATATGATTAGAAATGCTAAGAGCCACCAGTCTAGTCCATCCCACTAATTTTTATATCCAAAGGTGATCTAGTTTAGAATACTAGACAAGGTTTATATGATATTTAGTTTTTGGTCCCAATTCTGCAACTAACTCTGTGGCCTTAGACAAGTCTCTTGCCTTATCCAGGGCTGTTTCCTTGTCTGTAAAATAAAGAGTTGGACTAGATGATCTCTAAGGTCCCTTTTACATCTATAGTTTCCTTGGTACTATATTAGTGTTTGAGACAAAACAATTTAATATATCTAAGCCAGTTCTCCCTGTTATCGTTGTTGTTTTCTATCATTTTATCATTGGAAACAACTTGGATTTGGTTATGGTAATTTATATGATGCCTCTTGGTACAGTTTTGTGTATAGTGTTCCTACATGCTTGCATTTGCCAGTACAAATTACATTCAGCCTATAAAATAGAGATGAACTTCTGTATTCACCAGCACTTCCTTTTTCCAATTGTAACTTTTCATTTTCCTTCTAAATTCAGAGTTTTAAAGTAGAAGTACTTGCTAGTAATGCAGATAGAGTCAGTTCTCTCACCAATATGGATTTAAATTGTCCTTTCCATCTCAGTTTACTCTTTTTTAAAAAAAAAACAAACCAATATGCTACCTGAAACTAGAAACACATTTTTAATTCTGCAGCTCTCCTAACAGATTATTTTGCTTTAGTACAGAGCTGGGCTGCAGGCTGAGTTGGGAGTTGGTAAAGGATTGAGGACAGCAATGTAGGTCGCCTCTTCCTACAGGAAAAAATTGAGGAACGTTGTGTATTACTGGTTAAAAGATTGATTAGGATTATTTCAAGGGATGGTTGAGTTGTCGTTTTACTTATTTCACCCAATATTTTGTGTCTCTACTTAAGCAGTGTTGTTTTAAATGTTACTGGATAATTGTAACATAATCAAATTAAATTTTATATTTAACTGATACCCAAGCATTTGATGAAAACATGTTGCAGGAATGGGAGAGTATTCCATAGCTTTTGTTTTATTGTGATTTGATTAAATGTGACAACTAATAGTTTAAAGACAGGACTTCACTGTTTTAGCTGATTTCCTGTAGAAAGTGTGGCTAAGTTTAATTGAAAGAAATGTCTTCTTACTAGAACTGATTTTGGGGGACTTTATCCACTCTTACTTGGAACACTAACTGTTGGCTTATAAGGGTTCAAAAAGGAAGCAACAGTTGCTTATTTGGCATGTTGAAATATCACTGGCTATTTTAGAGTATGAAGCAAACTTTATCAATATGTTTTCTTTTCCCTCCTTACACACAATGTAGACTGATAGAAAATTAGTTTTAGTTCTTCTAGAATTTATATAAATTTTGTAAGCTCCACCCAACACACACACACACACACACACACACACACACACACACACCTGCCCCACTTACAAAAGTCTATATTAGCCTTTTAAAACAAAAATTTCCTGCGTGAAATTCTGGCTTAGTTAACTTTTTGGTCTTTCTCTCGGGGCTTTTCTTGTTCTTATAAAATACTGTAAATTACAAATGGAAATTTAATGCAGAATTAAATTTCTAGTGTACAATATTTGTAAGACAAGAAGAAAATTTCCTTTTCCCAGATCTCAGGAACTACCTTGTTCCTGTTAACTTCTTGAACTGGCTAGTTGCTCAAAGGTATGTATACAGGCCTTTAGGGAAGAGCAGTTTTTAAAATTTTCCTTTCTGATCATTATATACCTGTCAGATGACAATAGATAATCTTCCAAAGTTGCTACTTAAAAATCCTAGGAAAGAAACTTTGGTGAACATGACTGCCATTCCCATTAATTGCTAATGAAAAACATCAAACTTGCTTAGTAGAAAAACACCTAATTTGGTATAACTTTCTTGCAGTTTATCCATATTATGTGCTTGTTACTTAATGTAATTAAAAGCATTTTAAAATTCTACTTTTTTCGTATCCACTTTTTATACTTGCTACTTCCTAAATCCTCCCTCACTGTTTATTTCATCCATCTACTCATTTCCCATCATCCAAAGTTAGCCTCTCCTTGTATACCAGGCACTGTCTGATTTCCATGTATTCCTTTTATTTTTACTGTGGGCCTTTGTGCTTAGTATACTTTTACTTCATATAATGTGATTAACAAATGAAGTGATTATCATATGGAGTTTAAGGAAATTAGATGTATCTTGCAATTACTTTGAAATCTTTGGGAAACCTTAAGAAGATTGTATCTGTTTTCATTTTTATTTACAACATCTTGGAATTTGTTCATGATTTCCTAAAATTTCTTTGCCTACCCACATCTCTGTGAAAATTTTCCATATCAGTTAAGTAGTTTTCGCAATGAAAATTTTAGACCATAGATATGTTGTATGCTGTGATCTTTTGCAGCCTAATGTTTGAAGGGAGTATGATGCAGAGAGGTTTTGGTAAAATCATTTTAGCCCAAAGCTTTGTGTAATTTTCCTGCAACTTTGATTTTGATTTCTTTCTCAAATAGACTTTTTTAATGTTTAGAAAAGTTGGAGGTCAATTTATGATGTGATTCAAGTTTTAGATTTATTTGCTATTTTCAAAGTTTTTTTTAATAGTCTTCTCTTTTTCCAGCAGAGAGAGATCATCATTGCCTGAATTTAGCTTTGTGACTGCAAGAGCAAGACCAGTTCCTGTCTGGAGACGACTGTTACAATAATATCATCCTATTATTTTATGTTCACTCTTTATCAATTTGAACAGATGTTTACATGTACTATAATTAGCATTTTATCTCTACAGTTCTCTAAGAGTACATCTGAGTCCAAAGTGTATCTGAATGTGTGCTCTGACCTTATTCTTAAATGTTTTCTCCCCATACTTTATAGCCATTTATTTTTTAAACACCTTAAGAAGGAACGAAAAAGTTCTCTTGGATGACGTATATTCAAGTCTGAGCCAAATTGAGGATTGTGTCTAGGAAATCTGTAAAGCCATACTACTGTGTTCATTAGCATGAGCAATTTAAAATGAAAATGAATTAAAAAGTTAAACATGAGTTTGGTTTTAATTTTGGGGGGATCTTAAGATATATTTCTGGGAGTAGGATAGCCACTGAAAATAATTTTGAATAGATGATAAAGTACTTTTTTATGTACTGTAATAGCTTGTGCATTTCTTCTGAATATACTTTCTGATGTTGCCAAGGTCATTTACCCAAATATTTTTTTAAAAATTCTTAGCCCTTCAAAACCAACAAAGAAAATAATTTTCTTCCAAGTGACAAATGATGATCTGTGGATTATAAATATTTTAAAAATTATATGTCTTAACATAATTTTTTCACATTTTTTTGACTTTCAATCAAGACATCGAAGACGACCTTTAAAGCAAGAGGAAATAGTGTTGTGTGCCTAACATTGGTAAAGACTAGTTTTTAACCATTTTAAGAAGTGTATGTCCAAATTATTTATAAGCAGTATGACTTAATATGGCTTAGAATTACTTATAAAGAATCTGATTAAATCTCATCCTAAATATGTAGCCACAATATCTTTTTTATAATGGGACTATAAGAAATGTTTGCACTTAGTTTCTGAGTATTCCTTCATAGATTCTCAGGAGGCATTTAAAAAGTTGGAAGCTATACTTGGTAGTAACTATATTAGAAAAGTCCAATTGACACTGATTTTTATTCACCCTTGTTTTATTTTTATCCAGCCATACTACCTTTATCACTTTTTTTTTTTTTTTTGGTGCAAAGCTTAACATTCTGCAAACTTTTTTTCCCCTTGAGTATGCATTGCATTTGTCATGAAGAGTAAAAAGAATGTAATAAACACATCAGTCATAATGTAAATTAACTGTTTTGATCCACATTGGTTGGATACAGCATGGTTAATTCTAGGCTTGGTTAAAAATACATAATTTGGAAAGTCTTCTAATATTTTAAAGACCTAGTAGTTTACAAGGCCTTTTTTTGTTGTTGTTGTTAGACTTTTGGTTCACATTTACAAACTAGCCACAGGGTGTTCATAAATATTTCCCCAAATTAGTTGAGTATTTTTAATTGTAAACAAAGAATTTTCTGCCCCTACTACACTGGTTTACTGCTAGGGTAAAGACCATTGTCTGAAGACACTAAACTTGGTGTTAACAGTGTTGATTGTTTAATGGATATGGACTACATGCCACTACCTGCAACTTTGTCATCCTGGAGTTTTTGTTTGGTTTGGTTTGATTTTTCACTTTTTGCTTTTAAAATTAAAAACAAAGCAAAACAAAATTGAAGATACCATTGAGAATCAGAATTCAAGATGACTTGATTCTCACTAAGATCACTGCGCTTTTTTAAAATTGCTTTGAGATCTAGTCAGTTACATATTTAAAATCCCCGTGTTGATTAGAGATAAGGTTTTCATTATTTTATTTTCCTAAATAGGATTCTCATGGAGCTATTGTAGATAACTGTACAGAATCACTTTTGTGTAATTGAATGAAGCAGTTTCCTCTGCATGATTGCATAATGAAAGCCTTTTATATATCTATATTTTTCAATACTTAGATTTTACACTATTAAGCTGCTCTAGTCATGCTATATTTGTTTTTTTAATAGAGTTTATAAATATTTATGCTCAAAATACAGATCAACTGAATATTTTTGGTCTTGTTTACAAGATAAATCATACTTTAAAATGATACAGGCCCCTCAAGTGTCTTAGGAAAAAGTCATTGGTGCTATAAAACCTTTCAGTATCATTTTTGAACCCATTGTTCAGACTTTGCTAGGTTTTAATCTGATTCCTTGTGATTTATTATAATGTAGCAGCATACTTATAAAAGTGGTCTGTGCTGAGTCAGATAGAGAGCCCAGCCCATTAGAAACACATCATAATTTAAGAATATGATGCAGAATGCCCTTACACTTATTTGTGCCCAGCTTCCCAAAAAGAAAATTGTTTTGTTAAGAGGAAGGCAGTTAATTTGGCTAGAATCCAAAAACTCATTCAGCATGGCTGTTTTCCCTTATTTCAAATGAAAAACTTTTCTAATACTAAAATATGTAATCCTGCTTTGCTTTAAATTCCCATGTCTGTCACTCAACAGGAGGCATAGTGATTCTTAAATATTTACGGAACATTTGGTGAGTTGTAAAGAGAAGTATTATTGCATTGTAGGTTTTTGCATTGATGTGTCGATTTTTTTGTTTTGTCCCAAGATTTCCTTCCAGCACCTTAATGAATGTTCATATGATAGAATGTTTTAAGTATCAGCAAAGCATTCATGGATGCCTGCTTTTCATTCTCAGAAGGCTAAACCTGTTTTGGGTATGATGCTACTTCAGAACATATTGTCTGGCACAAGATTTCTTCTAATAAGTGGTTTATTTAAACTCAATTTCGGTGGACTGTTGAATTGAAAAACACCAAAGGAGTCTTCTTGTCTGGAGACTGGATTGTTCCAGTTTTAAATACCTGTGCCCATAAGTATCCCATTTCATGAATGTGTGTTGGCATGGGGAAAAAATTTCCCTGCTCTTTGAGTGGAGCGAAAGCAATTGGTTAAGCTGTAGCAGCTTTTTTGTTTATTTTTTTAAAGTAATAATAAAACTTGAACTGAAAAAAGATAAAACTTGAACTAGAATACTACTCTTGTATGCTTAGAATGTTTATAGTGTTAAATGTTTATGTGGGGTTGTCAACATTTTTATTATTTATAGTTGAATTATGTTTTGTTAAATCCATATTGTTTATTATTTTTATATTTTGAAAATTTTTAAAATAAAAGTCTTACTAAAAACAGTTGTTAACGTTTTAAAATTGTCCTACATCTTACATCAGTTAATTTATACTAGAAAAAAATTGCATTCATTAGGCATTACATAATTGAGAATTCTGAAAATGTTTATACGAAGAAATGACTCCACATTTCCTCTTCCCCTCTTTACCCTCCATTTTCAGTTGTATTAAGTCAATCTTGGCACCAGTATGTCACTGGCTTTATGTCTCCTCCTTTCACAGATACATAAATCCTCATGATCCTTCCCCCAAATTCCTGACTCCTTTCCTGCTTGGAAGTTTTTCTCTTTATTCTGCTTGGCAGCCAAAAAATTCTCTTTATCATAAGTGATAAGAATAAAAATACTATTCTGATGTTAAAGAAGGAATGCCGTAGTTTCTGAAGTGAAATTGGACACAAAGTGCTTATAGTGTCAATTTGCAAAGCCGTTGAAAGTTTTCAGAACTTCTGTAATTTCCACAGTTCATCTGAGCCATTTCTTCCCCCAATCTGATTTGGCCTGCTTTTCCAGCATTCAGCATGTTCATTTCTTATTTAATAGTTTTATTGAATGATGAATGTGAATTATTTCGATTTTCATCGCATATGTATCTTCTGTCATCTAACATGGTAACGTGACACTGCTTCTGCAAGAAAATACATTCTCATCTACAGATACACAAATTTTGATAAAAATCTAGTTAAAAGATCTAGCAAAGTAGAGGACTTTGGTTAATAATGGTACAATTATTTTAAAAAGTTATATGTTTGTGTATAGGCACACAAACATGTATGGCCAGCCCCCGTGGAGTATTTGCAGATTAAGCATGTTGTCAGCCTTCACTTATCTGAAAAGTGTTTCTGCACAATGAAGGAATTTTTCCTTTAATCTTTTTCATCATGTAATATTGCGGAGAAGCTAAAAATTTTTAAAAGCGTGGAGGTACTGTGATAGCCTGTCATTTATAAATGATCTCTAGACATTTTAAAAATGGAATTGTATAATTTTTACTGCCTTGTAACCTTTTTTCCCTTATGATATTGATACTATTTTTAATGGTCCCTCCATTATTTGAAGATGAATCAATGTAATGAATCAATTCTCATTTTGGGAACTTAACCTTTCCACTTTTTAGTATAAACAATGCTGTGAACATCATGCCTTTAATTATTCATGATATATTCTCAGAACTTCCTGGTCAGTATATATAGTTTTTAAAACTCGTGATACATTTTGAATTTTCTTTTACAAAGCAGATATGTATAAATAAGTAATAATTGTGCTTTGTGAACAGCCTGTTATTTTCTCTGAAATACGTTAGAACTTAACTGAATTTATTCCATATTCATAACAGAAACCAAATTATGCCTAATACAGTAGTTAAGCTCTGCTGCAGTAGTGACACTCTTATGGATATTTTCCACAATATGTAATTGCCAGGATTTTGTATACCATAGCAGATTTTTTTTTCTTGAAACTACAGATGTTTTATAAGTTTTCAAGAAACTCCATAGTCTCATCATGAGTCTCTATTGAAAGGTATGGGAGATTATTTTTATTAAATAAGGTAAAATAAGTGTCAGAATCTGGACTGGAATTTTCATTTTTCATACTATACTATGAGAATTCACAGAGCCGCCAAATAAAAACTCATAAAAACGTCCCCATATTTTTAATCAACACTCCAAACACCTTTTCTCCAGAAAAGCAATTTATGTTTTCCCCATGAAGTTCATACTGATACAAATAAAGCATCAATTGGCCTATGACAATAAAACTAGATAATGGGAAAATAGTTTTTCCATCTTTTTTTTTTTTTGGTCATAAACAGAAAAGGCTTTTTTTTTTATTCCTTTTTTTTCTTTTGAGGCGGGATGTCATTCTGTAGCCCAGGTTCGAGTGCAGTGGCTTGATCTTGGCTTGCTGCAACCTTGACCTCCCTGGGCTCAGGCAATCCTGTCTTGGCTTCTCAAGTAGCTGGGACTATATGCATACAACAGCACTCCTGTCTCATTTTTGTATTTGTCGTAGAGACGGTTTGCCATATTGCCCAGGCTGGTCTCAAACTCCAGCTCACGTAATCTGCCTGCCTCAGCTTCCCAAAGTGCTGGGATTACAGGCGTAAGCGGCGGTGTCCGGTTCATTTTTGAAAGCTTAATTCATTTCATTGGAAAGAAAATTTCTTGTAAACCATGAATATTTTCGTTAGCTATTCATATAGTGGCCGTGTTTTTATTCAAATGGAAATGGGAACATTTTGTACGCATATGACATTACTTTCAATATTCAAGGGTTTGCAATACTATGACAGTTTTCTTAAATTCTCAGTCTTTGTTTCACTTTATAAATCTAAGATGTGTATTATTGAAGCAGTAGTACATTTTATATTCGATGCTCTGAATCATGAAACTGATTATCTAGTATGCAGTGTATTTGTTTGGGGGATTTTGAATTTAGGACATAGGTTAATGAAAAGACCATTTCGTACTTCTGATTTTTAAGAAGAAAAAGTACAGGTGACAAAAAAGCCTTTGAAGTCTGACATTTTTGAACTTTTAATGTTAAAATGTTTTTTATTTATCCCAAAGATATATAAATCAAATTTGTCTGGAAATACAGGTGAATATTCATAATGTCAAGAACATTTCAAACCAGTTTTTAAAGGTTGTTATCTATGACTTCAGACTTGACAAATTTCCAGTACTTTTTAATTGGAAATGTTAAGAAATTCACACTGCATAGTGTAATCACCTGGGGAGATTTTTAAAATCCCAATGCCTGGGTCATGCTACATGCTAATAACATCAGAGTGTCTGGGGATGGAAGAATTACTGGAGAATTCTACCAAATATTTAAAGAAGAATTAACACTAATTCTATACAATCTCTTCCAGAAAATAGAAAAGGAGAGAATACTTCATTTTATGAAGCTAGAATTATTCTGTTACCAAAAGCAGAGACAGCACAACGGTAGAAACTACAGGCCAATATCCTTATGAATATAGGTGTGAAAATCCTTAGCAAAATATTAGCAAGTAGAATTTAGCAATACTTTTTAAAGACCAAATAAAGGTTATTTCAGAGATACAAATCTGGTTTAATATTTTAGAATTGACTACTGTATTATCAGGCTGAATAAAAGTAAATCACATGATTGTATCAGAGAAGAAGCACTTGACAAAATTCAGTGTTTGTGATACAGAAATGATAAAACTTCTTAGGAAATTAGAAATTAGAGGGTAACTGCTTCAACTTGATAAAAAGCACCTACAAAAAAGCTACAGATCATGTTCATTAATGATGAATGACTGAATTACTTCCCTCTGATAGGAAAACAAGGCAGAGATGTCTGCTTTTACCACTGTTAATTAACATGGTGCTGGAAATTGTAGCTAATGGGATAAAAAGCAAAAAGAAAAAATAGAGATTGGAAAGGAAGAGTTAGAACATTAAAACTCCCTATTTGCAGATAACATTGTCTACATACAAAATCCTATATATAAAATAAATGAGCTCAGTAAGATTCCAGGATAAAAGATAAACATACAGGTCAGGCGCAGTGGCTCGCGCCTATAATCCCAGCACTTCTGGAGGCCGAGGTGGGTGGACTGCTTGAGTATAGGAGTTCAAGAGCAGCCTGAGCAACATAGTGAAACCCTGTCAGTTTCATGACTATGCCAAATGTCATGCCCAGGGTCAGGTTCCAGCCCATGCTGAGGTTCAAGGGAGTGGGTAGATGAGCAGAAAGAACCCTTGGGGAACCAAAGGCAGGTGAAAGATGATTTTATTCAGCAGCAGCTCTCATAAACAGCTCTCTCCGCCCTGTCTCGGCTGCTTAGTCAGGCAGCCCACACACACAGCTGTGCGGCCAACTCTCCCTTGCCTTCAGGGTGAGCAGCTAAACTCTCTTTGGGCACGAGCAGGCCAAGCTGTGTCCTGGCTCCCCTCTGTCTGTCTGCAAAGACAGACAGCTTTGGCTCTCTGTCTTTCTCTGGGTACCAGTGTGCCTCCACAGTGTTAACAGGGCAGTTATATATTTTACAGGCAATAGTGGCATAGAGCCAAGTGATGAACCTTCCCTATGTTATGGCTATGGTGGTGAACTTCTCTATGTTATGTCTATGTGGCTATGATAACAAGTGGAATTATACACCTGCACTCTAGACTCGCTGAGTCACTCTGGATGTTTACTTCAGCCTGTCCTTGACCAAAGCACTTCCATGTTCCTTACACCACCTCTACCAAAATAATACAAAAACTAGCTGGGTGTGGTGGAATGTGCCTGTGATCCCAGTTACTTGGGAGGCTGCGGTAGAAGGACCACTTGAGTCCAGGAAGCAGAGGCTGCAGTGAGCCATGATCGCACCACTGCACTCCATCCTGGGCAACACAGTGAGACCCTGTCTAAAAAAAGCAAAAACCCCCAAACAAAAAAAGATAAACATACAGAAATAAATTATAGAAGTGAGAAACAGAGTCGTGCTTGCTAGGCATTATGAAGGTGGTGGGGGTGGGAAGGAAGTAGGTGGGATTGTAGAAGGGCGACAAGAGGGATCCTTATGGTGATGGAAACATTCTGTATCTTGACTGTATCACTGTCAGTATTTTGGATGTGATATCGTACTACAGTTTTGCATGACAACACCATTGGGGGATATTTGGAAAAGGACACATGGGATCTCTCTGTGTTATTTCTTACATCTTTGTGAATTTAAAATGTCTCAAAAAGTTTAATTTGGAAAAGAGAAAAAAGTAATCAAAGGCAGAATAACAGCTAACTAGCAACATATTGGACATGCAGAAATGCCTTGGAGGGATGTGTGCTCCCTGTTAAGAATGAACTTGGGAAAGCAAGGATTGGAGGTATAGAAAAGGAATAAATTGAGTTTGCTCACCTGAGAGTTTCTGGAGGCACTGCAAACTCATTTCTCCCAATGGTTTCACTGCAACCTGTGCCAGTAAGTACCACATGCATGTTGCTTCTTTTATTCTTTCACCAGTATTGCTAACTGAAAGAGACTCTAGACTGAGAAATGACAGATCTCATCTACCTCAAAAAGGTGGATGACAATGAAAACAACTAATGTTTGCTTTGCTCTCTCTGCCTTTAACATAGATCAGGAGGGTTGAAATCATCCGAAATGGGAGGAGACAGAACAAACTCATAACTGTAAATTAAATTCTCTGAAGGAAAGAGACAGTGTTATGGGAGTGCAAGGCAAATGAACCTGACCTAGGATGATGTGAGAAAAGCCTTCTCATAAGTTCAGTTGAGATCTGAAAACTGAACAAGAGTTTACTAGGGGGGAGCATATTCTTGATACAATGAACAGTTTGTGCAAAAATATAGGGGGACCAAATATGGTGCATTTGAAGAGCTGAAAGGCCAGTGTGGCTGCAATGCAAAGACATAAAATTTGAGAATTATTGATATGGAAATCTAAATATAACTGATAGGTAAGGATTGGACTCTCTAGAGATCAAATATAGAATGAGCAGCTCTCCATTTAATCTAGGTAATATAGGCTAATTCTGCAAAGAAGAAGTAGAAGGGGCAGCCAAAGAGGTAGGAAAAAAACAGGAAAGGGAGTTAAAGAGGCCAAAGTAAAAAAATAAAATGGCTTTAGGAATGAGGGAATGATAAACAATGTCAAGGATTGCAAAGTAAGATAAATGAAATGCAAAATATACCTTGGATTTTTGGATAAGGAAGCCGTCGGTAACCCTGGAAGGTGGTTGTTTTGTTTTGTTTTGCCTGCTTGCTTTATGATGATGATGATGATGATTATTATTATACTTTAAGTTCTAGGGTACATGTGCACAATGTGCAGGTTTGTTACATATGTATACACGTTCCATGTTGGTGTGCTGCACCCGTTAACTTGTCATTTACATTAGGTATATCTCCTAATGCTATCCCTCCCCCTTTCCCCCACCCCACGACAGGCCCCAGTGTGTGATGTTCCCCCCCGCCTGTGTCCAAGTGTTCTCATTGTTCAATTCCCACCTATGAGTGAGAACATGTGGTGTTTGGTTTTCTGTCTTTGTGATAGTTTGCTCAGAATGATGGTTTCTAGCTTCATCCATGTCCCTACAAAGGACATGAACTCATCCTTTTTTATGACCTGCATAGTATTCAATGGTGTATATGTGCCACATTTTCTTAATCCAGTCTATCATTGATGGACATTTGGGTTGGTTCCAAGTCTTTGCTATTGTGAATAGTGCCACAATAAACATATGTGTGCATGTGTCTTTATAGCGGCATGGTTTATAATCCTTTGGGTATATACCCAGTAATGGGATTGCTGGGTCAAATGGTATTTCTAGTTGTAGATCCCTGAGGAATCGCCACACTGTCTTCCACAATGGTTGAACTAGTTTACAGTCCCACCAACAGTGTAAAAGTGTTCCTATTTCTCTACATCCTCTCCAGCACCTGTTGTTTCCTGACTTTTTAATGATTGCCATTCTAACTGGTGTGAGATGATATCTCATTGTGGTTTTGATTTGTATTTATCTGATGGCCAGTGATGATGAACATTTTTTCATGTATCTGTTGGCTGCATAAATCTCTTCTTTTGAGAAGTGTCTGTTCATATCCTTCGCCCACTTGTTGATGGGGTTGTTTGTTTTTTTCTTGTAAATTTGTTTGAGTTCTTTGTAGATTCTGGATATTAGCCCTTTGTCAGATGGGTAGATTGTAAAAATTTTCTCCCATTCTGTAGGTTGCCCATTCACTCTGATGGTAGTTTCTTTTGCTGTGCAGAAGCTCTTTAGTTTAATTAGATCCCATTTGTCAATTTTGGCTTTTGTTGCCATTGTTTTTGGTGTTTTAGTCATGAAGTCCTTGCCCATGCCTATGTCCTGAATGGTATTGCCTAGGTTTTGTTCTAGGGTTTTTATGGTTTTAGGTCTAACATTTAAGTCTTTAATCCATCTTGAGTTAATTTTTGTATAAGGTGTTAAGGAAGGGATCCAGTTTTAGCTTTCTACATATGGCTAGCCAGTTTTCCCACCACCATTTATTAAATAGGGAATCCTTTCCCCATGTCTTGTTTTTGTCAGGTTTGTCAAATGGTTGTAGATGTGTGCTATTATTTCTGAGGGCTCTGTTCTGTTCCATTGGTCTATATCTCTGTTTTGGTAGCAGTACCATGCTGTTTTGGTTACTGTAGCCTTGTAGTATAGTTTGAAGTCAGGTAACATGATGCCTCCAGCTTTGTTCTTTTAGGCTAGGGTTGTCTTGGCAATGCGGGCTCTTTTTTGGCTCCATATGAACTTTAAAGTAGTTTTTTCCAATTCTATGAAGAAAGTCTTTGGTAGCTTGATGGGGATGGCATTGAATCTATAAATTACCTTGGGCAGTATGGCCATTTTCATGATATTGATTCTTGCTATCCATGAGCACGGAATGTTCTTCCATTTGTTTGTGTCCTCTTTTATTTTGTTGAGCAGTGGTTTGTAGTTCTCCTTGAAGAGGTCCTTCACATACCTTGTAAGTTGGATTCCTAGGTATTTTATTCTCTTTGAAGCAATTGTGAATGGGAGTTCACTCATGGTTTGGCTCTCTGTTTGTCTGTTATTGGTGTAGAGGAATGCTTGTGATTTTTGCACATTGATTTTGTATCCTGAGACTTTGCTGAAGTTGCTTATCAGCTTAAGGAGATTTTGGGCTGAGACAATGGGGTTTTCTAGATATACAATCATGTCATCTGCAAACAGGGACAATTTGACTTCCTCTTTTCCTGATTGAATACCCTTTATTTCTTTCTCCTGCCTGATTGCCCTGGCCAGAACTTCCAACAGTATGCTGAATAGGAGTGGTGAGAGAGGGCATCCCTGTCTTGTGCTAGTTTTCAAAGGGAATGCTTCCAGTTTTTGCCCATTCAGTATGATATTGGCTGTGATTTTGTGATAAATAGCTCTTATTATTTTGAGATACGTCCTATCAATACCTAATTTATTGAGAGTTTTTAGCATGAAGCGCTGTTGAATTTTGTCAAAGGCCTTTTCTGCATCTATTGAGATAATCATGTGGTTTTTGTCTTTGGTTCTGTTTACATGATGGATTATGTTTATTGATTTACATATGTTGAACCAGCCTTGCATCCCAGGGATGAAGCCAACTTGATCATGGTGGATAAGCTTTTTGATGTGCTGCTGGATTCAGTTTGCCAGTATTTTATTGAGGATTTTTGCACTGATGTTTATCAGGGATATTGGTCTAAAATTCTCTTTTTTTGTTGTGTCTCTGCCAGGCTTTGGTATCAGGATGATGCTGGTTTCATAAAATGAGTTAGGGAGGATTCCCTCTTTTTCCATTGATTGGAATAGTTTCAGAAGGAATGGTACCAGCTCCTCTTTGTACCTCTGGTAGAATTCGGCTGTGAATCTGTCTGGTCCTGGACTTTTTTAGTTGGTAGGCTATTAATTATTGCCTCAATTTCAGAGCCTGTTATTGGTCTATTCAGGGATTCAACTTCTTTCTGGTTTAGTCTTGGGATGGGGTACGTGTCCAGGAATTTACCAATTTCTTCTAGATTTTCTAGTTTATTTGCATAGAGGTGTTTATAGTATTCTCTGATGTTTGTATTTCTGTGGGATCGGTGGTGATATCCCCTTTATTATTTTTTATTGTGTCTATTTGATTCTTCTCTCTTTTCTTCTTGATTTGTCTTGTTAGCAATCTATCAATTTTGTTGATCATTTCAAAAAACCAGCTCCTGGATTCTTTGATTTTTTTGGAGGGTTTTCTGTGTCTCTATCTCCTTCAGTTCTGCTCTGATCTTAGTTATTTCTTGCCTTCTGCTAGCTTTTGAATGTGTTTGCTCTTTCTTCTCTAGTTCTTTTAATTGTGAGGTTAGGTTGCCCCTTTTAGATTTTTCCTGCTTTCTCTTGTGGGCATTTAGTGCTATAAATTTCCCTCTACACACTGCTTTAAATGTGTCTCAGAGATTCTGGTATGTTGTGTCTTTGTTCTCATTGGTTTCAAAGAACATCTTTATTTATGCCTTCATTTCGTTATGTACCCAGTAGTCATTCAGGTGCAGGTTGTCCAGTTTCGATGTAGTTGAGTGGTTCTGAGTGCGTTTCTTAACCCTGAGTTCTAATTTGATTGCACTGTGGTCTCAGAGACAGTTTGTTATAATTTCTGTTCTTTTACATTTGCTGAGGAGTGCTTTATTTCCAACTATGTGGTCAATTTTGGAATAAGTGCGATGTGGTGCTAAGAAGAATATATATTCTGTTGGTTTGGGGTGGAGTGTTCCGTAGATGTCTATTAGGTCTGCTTGGTGCAGAGCTGAGTTCAATTCCTGGATATCCTTGTTAACTTTCTGTCTCATTGATCTGTTTAATGTTGACAGTGGGGTGTTAAAATCTCCTATTATTATTGTGTGGGAGTCTAAGTCTCTTTGTAGGTCTCTGAGGACTTTGTTTATGAATCTGGGTGCTCCTGTATTGGGTGCATATATATTTAGGATAGTTAGCTCTTCTTGTTGAATTGATCCCTTTACCATTATGTAATGGCCTTCTTTGTCTCTTTTGATCTTTGTTGGTTTAAAGTCTGTTTTATCAGAGACTAGGATTTGCAACACCTGTTTTTTTTGTTGTTGTTTTCCATTTGCTTGGTAGATCTTTCTCCATCCCTTTATTGTGAGCCTATGTGTGTCTCTGCATGTGAGATGGGTCTCCTGAATACAGCACACTGATGGATCTTGACTCTTTATCCAATTTGCCAGTCTGTGTCTTCTAATTGGAATATTTAGCCCATTTACATTTAAGGTTAATATTGTTATGTGTGAATTTGATCCTGTCATTATGATATTCGCTGGTTATTTTGCTCGTTAGTTGATGCAGTTTATTCCTAGCATCGATGGTCTTTACAATTTGGCATGTGTTTGCAGTGGCTGGTACCAGTTGTTCCTTTCCATGTTTAGTGCTTCCTTCAGGAGCACTTGTAAGGTAAGCCTGGTGGTGACAACATCTCTCAGCATTAGCTTGTCTGTAAAGGATTTTATTTCTCCTTCACTTATGAAGCTTAGTTTGGCTGGATATGAAATTCTGGGTTGAAAATTCTTTTCTTTAAGAATGTTGAATATTGGCCCCCACTCTCTTCTGGCTTGTAGAGTTTCTGCTGAGAGATCCGTTGGTAGTCTGATGGGCTTCCGTTTGTGGGAAACCCAACCTTTCTCTCTGGCTGCCCTTAACATTTTTTCCTTCATTTCAACTTTGGTGAATCTAACAATTATGTGTCTTGGAGTTGCTCTTCTCGAGGAGTATCTTTGCGGTGTTCTCTGTATTTCCTGAATTTGAATGTTGGCCTGCTTTGCTAGGTTGCGGAAGTTCTCCTGGATAATATCCTGAAGAGTGTTTTCCAACTTGGTTCCATTCTCCCTGTCACTTTCAGGTACACCAATCAGACATAGATTTGGTCTTTTCGCATAGTCACATATTTCTTGGAGGCTTTGTTCATTTCTTTTTACTCTTTTTTCTCTAAACTTCTCTTCTTGCTTCATTTCCTTCATTTGATCTTCAATCACTGATACCCTTTCTCCCCCTTGATCAAATCGGATAGTGAAGCTTGTGCATGCATCATGTAGTTCTCATGCCATGGTTTTCAGCTCCATCAGGTCATTTAAGGTCTTCTCTACACTGTTTGTTCTAGTTAGCCATTCTTCTAATCTTTTTTCAAGGTTTTTAGCTTATTTGCAATGGGTTCAAACATCCTCCTTTAGCTCGGAGAAGTTTGTTATTTCCAATCATCTAAAGCCTTTTTCTCTCAACTTGTCAAAGTCATTCTCCGTCCAGCTTTGTTCTGTTGCTGGCAAGGAGCTGCATTCCTTTGGAGGAGAAGAGGCACTCTGATTTTTAGAATTTTCAGCTTTTCTGCTCTGGTTTCTCCCCATCTTTGTGGTTTTATCTACCTTTGGTCTTTGATGATGGTGATGTACAGATGGGGTTTTGGTGTGGATGTCCTTTCTGTTTGTTAGTTTTCCTTCTAACAGACCCTCAGCTGCAGGTCTGTTGGAGTTTGCTGAAGGTCCACTCCAAACGCTGTTTGCCTGGGTATCACCAGCAGAGGCTGCAGAACAGCAAATATTGCAGAACGGCAAATGTTGCTGTCTGATCCTTCCTCTGGAAGCTTCTTCTCAGAGGGGCACCCCACTGTATGAGGTGTCAGTCGGCCCCTACTGGGAGGTGTCTTCCAGTTAGGCTACTCGGTGTTCAGGGACCCACTTGAGGAGGCAGTCTGTCCATTCTCAGATCTCAAATTCCATGCTGGGAGAACCACTACTCTCTTCAAAGCTGTCAGACAGGTATGTTTAAGTCTGCAGAAGCCTCTGCTGCCTTTTGTTCAGCTATGCCCTGCCCCCAGAGGTGGAGTCTACAGACGCAGGCAGGCCTCCTTGAGCTGCAGTGGGCTCCACCCAGTTCGAGCTTCCCAGCCTCTGAGCCATGCGCGGGATATAATCTCCTGGTGTGCTGTTTGCTAAGACCGTTGGAAAAGCACAGTATTAGGGTGGGAGTGTCCCGATTTTCCAGGTACTGTCTGTCATGGCTTCCCTTGGCTAGGAAAGGGAATTCCCTGACCCCCTGCACTTCCCAGGTGACGCAATGCTCTGCCCTGCTCTGTGGGCTGCAGCCACTGTCTGACAATCCCCAGTGAGATGAACCCAGTACCTCAGTTGGAAATGCAGAAATCACCCGTCTTCTGCATCGCTCACGCTGGGAGCTGTAGACTGGAGCTGTTCCTATTAGGCCATCTTGGAACATCCCTCTGCCTGCTTGCTTGTTAGTAACGAATATGGGAGTCAAAGGAAGGTAAGGACATAGAGAGAGAGTATAGACAAGTTTTTTCAGAAGATTTTTTAAGGGTGGAAGAGAGATAGGATTGTAGTTTGCAAGTCAGGGGGGATAAAGGGAAGCCAGGGAATTATGTTTAAATCTCTACAGAAAGGAGTCTCAAGACAGAGTGAGCAATAATAATAGTTTAAGGCAGCCAAAAAGATCGGATGAGAAAAAATCTGAAGCACAATTATAGGAACTGCCCTTAGACAGAAGTAGAAACAATCAAGGTGAGGGGAAAAAAAGTTCATTCCGCTTTTAGGTTTGGCAGTGGAATTAAGGGAGTCCCCATCAGATGTCTTCAGTTTTCCTTGCAACCCAGTAGACATGTAATTTGCTGCCTAGTCCCCACCTGCATAACTCCTGAATATCACCCCTCTTTCGCCATCTTTCCCAGTTATACCTGGTAATCCTCTAGAATATCTGGTCTCAACTACTCCCCTCATGTTCTTCCATTCCAAACTCATCAGGAACCTTCACCATGGTCTTCACTCCAATCATAGTGGCCTCTGTGAAAGCACTGCTGTGCTGGGGTTACTCAGCCCCCATTATCCCCCCTACCTCTACCCTATACCTTCGGGGCACCAGGGCTGTGCTGTGGTCTGAAGAAGTCAATGACCCATCCCAACTCTGTCAGTCTTTGTTGCTGTGACCCAGTGTACAGCATCTGTTCAGAGCTCAAGCATGATATGGCTGACAGATACGGTCTTTTGAACACAGCTCCTATTTTCTACCTAAACTTCTGCAGCTAGTGGGTAGACAAACATCTTGCCATCCCTCCATAATTCTTCTTTTCTGCTTTATCCACTCTCTTTCCTAATATCTTATATTTTTAAAGTTCCCTGACTATCAATTCATGAAAATAAGTACTCAGAGGAGTGGCAAGGATCATGAAGTGATTAAAATGTAAAGGATTTTAAGGAAAATAGGAGAAATTAGGACAGGAGTCTAAATAGCAAAGTTCAGAGCATGGTAAGAACTTTGAACTTCATTGTGAGGTGCTGGGGAGCCACCTAAATGTCTGAAAGTTTGAGAGAAAGAGGCTGGGACACAAGAAGGGCAGGGATGAGGATGGGGAATAGTAAAATGATTAGATTTGCAGTTTTTAATGATCTCTTTCATAATGGTGAGGAGGATAAATTGGAAGCATGGAGAACATTGGGCATAAAAGGGACAGTTAGGAGACTCCAAGTCTCTGGGCTGAGCAACAAAGTTGATGGCTGTGTGATACACTGAGATTGAACATGTGGGGTTGGGAACAGGTTTATAGGACAAGAGAAGGAGTTGAATTTGTTTTTGACATTTTAACCTTGTGGAATATCAAAGTGGAAATATCCTGTAGGCAGATATCTGCTATCTGAAGCACAGAAGAGACATTTAGGCTGCAGACATAGGTGTGAGAACCACATATATGAAAGAGATTCCTCAGAGAGCACATGCAGCACGTGAAGAGGGAAGGCTAAGGATAGAATCCCGATGAACCCTCAATATTTACAGGACCTAGAGGAGAAGGTACACATGAAGCAGATGAAAAAATTGCTAGAAGAAAAGAAGAGCTAAGTGAGGTGGTGTCACAAAAGCCAAGAAAAGAGAGAAGTTCACAAGCCAGAGCTTGATCAAGTAAGAAGTCAAATAAGATCAAGATGGAGAGGATCTAGCAACTCATAAATCCATATGCAGTTTCATGGGAGGAGAAGACAGACTGATGTAGAATGAAGAGAAACTGGGAAGTTAAGTGGAGACTGAATGTAGGGAACTCAACGTGAACAGTGGAGAGAAGGCAAAATTTAGTATGGTAGCTTAGACTTTGCTAGGTAAAGGAGTGTTTATTTCTTTTTGGAATGGTGGCTACCAAAGACTGAGGGAACTTCATGAACATGTTTTATAGACTGAAAGAAAAGAGACAGGGGAAAGGAAGAGGTTAAAAATGTAAAGGAATTTGTTTATAATGGACAGAGATTTCAGGATGCACCATGGGAAGGGATGGAGAAAAGAGGTTGTGAAAACAGTAATGAGAGTGTGCAAGAATATGGTGCTCAAGGCCTGATGGTTCAAGGACTACTCAAGCATGGTATGGCTGGCAGAAATGCATGGAACTAACTGGACTGTGTTTTTAAGTCAGTTTTGAGAGAAAGTTCTTTTGACTGGAACTGGGGCAGGTATCAAGTACTGGAGTGTGTTGATTGCCATTGGCAACCAATCCCCAGAAATACTAACACAACTGAAATGTTATAATTGTCCATTACAAAATTAAAATGACTTGCCCATAATAAGCACGCATAATATTTGTAAAATAAATGAATTAAGCTGCTCTGGATTTTTTGAGGGATTGGGAGAAGGGAAATGGTGAATACTAAAGGTATAGAAAGGAGTACTGGGGAGAGAAAGAATCCCAGGGGAGAAAGATGAGATAACAAAGCCCAGCAGAGAATAAAAACACCTGATGCATGGAAGAAATGCATTTTGTCCATGTTTGCTATAAGTAAAGTACAAAAAAAGTATTTTTTTCTTTGCTCTGAATTGTTTGTTTATTTCAAGGACTGTATCTTCTTGCCTAGGATAATGAAAATCTTTCTAGGGCAGGAGTTGGTTTCTACCACTACTTCCTAAAAACAAGTAGCATAATATGGCTAGAGTAGAGACGTTAAGCATCCGGGTTTACTAACTGTGTGGCCTTAAGCAAATGACTTAGGATATATATTTTAGTCTCCTCATATGTAAAATGCAGCTAAAAATAGCACCTTTTTCACTGAGCTTTGAGAAAAATCAAATGAGATTATGTAGGTTAGAGATTTACTTGAGAGATGGTAATAATTCAATGGATTAGTAATTTTCATAAAAGGCTCACCTTCTCCTATGAGCTCTATGTCTTGGTGAAAAGGAAAGGCCCAGACAGTTCTAATGAAAGTGGATGCTGCGTAGTTCCACCATCCACTCCTAGGGCCTCATTTGAAACGGTAAATTGAATTTACCTTCAGGCCTAGTTAGATTTAGATATAGGGACTCCTGTGGAAAGTCTCAACATTTCTCCATTTCCACTCTAACTACTCCTAATATACTCTGGAGATCCAACCTTCACAGGCATGAAGGCTGTGGAATAGAGACAGTGAGCTCTTTAATGTTTCAGAGAATTCAGGCTGCTGCAAGCAAAAAAGGCTGGGAAGTCCAAACTTATTCCAGGTGAAAAGCAACCACTCTGTGTCTCTTTTTCCATAGCACCTCAGCTTTGTCTGTGTCTTTACTGCATTTCCTCTCTCTACCAGCTGGAAAGTCTTTGTGTTCTTCAGTATAACTTTTGGGGGGATTTTCTAATTAGCTTCACGCATACTGTTGCCCTGTATTCATCAGCTATTGCCAAAAAAAAAAAAAAAAAGCATAATGAAACATTCAACAACTCAGTGGCTTACAATAAGCTTCCATTCTGCACATCTGCAGGTTAACTGCAGTTCAGCTGATCTACCCTAGGGTCAACTGAGAAGATTTGCTCCAAGCCTGTGGGGCTTGCTTTACTTCTGTCCCACGTGTGTTCACACTGGGGCTCAGGCAGGAGGAGCAGCAGAGTCTTGGGCATTCTCCTTTCCTGCATGTAGTTGTAGAATGAGAGGATGACTAGACACATGTCATATCTCAGGAGGCCTCAGTCTGGCACATGTCACATCCACCCATAATCCATCAGCCAAGCCACATACACTCTGCCTACTCTCATAAAGCAATGTCAACTGGCAAAAGCCATGGATGCAGAATTCTAAGGCAGGAAATTTTGAAGAATGGCAAAAGAGGTTTGAAACAACTATAATCCATATGCATGAGGTGCCCACTCTCATCTAATCTTTGTATGTACTTACACAGAAGGCAGCTGAGTAGCACAGCCCACCGTGCCCATGGGCCAATGCGCATGATGCAGTATGACTCACATATCTAGTGTGTGAACACAAGGAAATGTGTAAATATCATGAGGAAAAAGAATAGAAGGGAACAGATTGCTTTTATTACTCATAAAACTTCACCATGAATTTGTTTCTAAAAGGAAAAAGACCAGTCAAGTCTGTTTGGAGGTACATTTATTGAAGAAGATGAGTTATAATTCAAAAGGAATAAAGTTATGAACCCCCAAAGAGTTGAGACTTAACAAACAACTATGGGAGATCCTTGCTGTAGATGCTTCTCATGTGCACGAATTTCAGTTACCACAGTTTTCGTAAATAACACCAGTCCTTCATGATTAAAAATCAGTTACCATAGTATATCAACTGTGGTTAATTGTATAAAGTACAAACTTCATTATTAGCTCTTTAATCTGCAAATCACTGTGTAAATAAGAGACCTGCATCTTGATCACTGAACAGTCATGTTGCTTCTTTCAAAGTCTGTCAGTGATTGGTTACTGTGCATCTTTTATTCAGTTCGTGCACATACAGCAAAGCATGTAGTTGTGTAGTTTTCTTGTCTCCCAATTACAAACGCATGTAACATTTTACAAAAATGGTTAATGCGATGTTAGTTACAACAGCTTAGAAGTTAAGGAGAGGGGTTGCTGCTGCCTCAGGGGCTAAGAATGGAAGGGAACAGACAGCTGTCATGGAAGAGCAACCAACTCAGTGCTGGTGCCTCGACTTCTGCGGGGACCACACCCACCTGGTTCTAAAGGTGATAAAAGATGCTGGAGGGATGCACACAAGAGATGGAAGATGCTCCCACTGGAGCAGCCTCTTTCTTCCCCACCTTGCAGCTTCCCGCTGGTGCTTCCCACTGGTGGAATCTGACTGAAAGCCAGTTGTCAAGTTAGTGTGGGAAATACAGTTTTCAGACACCTAGTTGTGGCATTTACAGAGTTGAATATAGAAGGGTTGGATTGGGTCTGAGAGACAGTAGGCAAATAACTACCAGAACTGCCATCACCATTTCTCCCAGGGATTGTTGGCAAACTAGGATTGCTCTAGTACCCCTGGTCTCTGAAGAGGCACGTCTACTGGGCCACTGTCATAAGTCTGCTACACCTGTAAATCAGGCAGTGATACAAATGGACACATGTAGCCCAAATATCAACCAGAAGTCAGTTACAACTATTTTTTCTTGGTCCACAGAAATCAGACTTCTTTTTCCCCTCCAAAGGCTACCATTGTTATTTGCTAATAGTTTATTTCATTTCTTATCCTCAAATGGCTAACATTTGTGTGATTCCGTGTCCAAGACCTCTGCTTGTCTTCTTTTATCTATTCTCAGGCTGTGGGGCTGCTTATTCTTTACCTCCTTTCTCATTTGCTTCTCTATCTCTGGTAATGAGGTATCCTGGGTGTTGATTCTTCGCGAGTATCTTGCAGTTTGCCATGCAAAGAAAAAGAGGCTACAGAATCTGAGATTTTGTTTATTTCAACTTTTTCTGTTTCTTTCTCATACCCCTGCTGACCCACTTGGAAGAAACAACCCTATCCCTTTGGAGGATTTTAAACTCATGCTCTGAAAAAGAAAACAATGGTTTGTACTCACTTCTTAATATTTTCTTGTTTTCTCTAACATACATTCTTTTACACATTTGTGTGTGATAAACAGAGATACTTCTAGCATTGGAGTTGCCTAAACAGTAACATTAAGACAGTTCCGGGATCCTCTCTGATTCCCCCTTGTATTGGTGGCAGTGTCATCACATGGAGGAGGATGAGCGAATTTACACAGTGAAAATTAGTATATGTTACTAACTCCATAACCCTTGACTAAAATAATATACATAACCAGCCTTAAATTCTAATTTCCACAGCTATTTTTTTTCCAAATAGGTCTTGCATATGCTAAGAAGCTATAAGAAAAATATCAAAGAGTTAAATTGACCAATGCTTGTTTTTCATTGTATTTTTTTGGGTTTTACTGTTTTTTTGTGGCACACTTTTAGAGCTACCTCACTTTTGACTGAAAAACATAGATATTATAATATGTAATGTAATATATAACACACACAAATGTTATGTGGCTATATTATATATTATGTAACATACATATTCTATAGCTGATTAATAGGAATAAACAATTCATAGAAAATATTGGTTTTGTCCATAGATATACACATACATATGTATATAGTGTAAAAATGTCGGTTTTTTCATCATTGTATATACATAAATATATACATATATACATATAACGTGATGACCACAACTAACATTTTCTATGAAGTATTCAATCCTATAGCTATAAAATTAAAGTGTATTCTGGTGGAAAGAGGCTTAGGTGACCTGGGTCTAGTTCAGGCTCTAATAATTAGCTTTGGAATCTAAGCATATTCATTTAACCTTTCTGGACCTCACTCTGCTTATATGCAATAAGAGAGAATAAACTAGATCAAGGATGGCAAGCAGGATTCATCTTGACTACCAGCTCCAGAAAGCAGCTTGTTAAGTGCTGAGTTGAGAATTCTAGGCTGAGTATGGGCTTAATAAGGAAGTACACCATGATCCATTCGTGCTGTCTGCTATGGATGCAGGAGGTGGAGAGCAGGCCATGAGTGCCATATATTAGCTGTCTCCTTGGATGAGATTGCCTCCAAGGTCACTTGTACTATGCCATATAATTCAAGATATTTATCACTTAAATTTAAGTTTATAAACATAAAACAAACTGGAAAAACAAATCTTGAGGGTCCCTATCTAAATATGGATTTTGGGAAAACACTTTTTCCTTGGAAGTAGACATAAAAAAGGAAGTTTCTGCCAGAACTTTTTTGAAAGAATTTTTAAGATAATGTAAACTTATCTCCCTTCACTCTTTCATTCTCTCCTGAAATATTTATTAAGTACTAACTTTGAAATTGACACAGTGCTTGGTGTTGAATAGTTGCTGAATTGAATTGAAATGGAGGATTGAAAGATGAATAAGACACAGTTCTCGCTCTTGTGGAGTTCATGGCCCAGTGGGAAAGGCAGACTTCCTAGCAGGTAATTATAATACAACGTGTTAAATGCTACAATGATCTTGTGAAGCCCAGAAAATGAAATGACTAACTCTGTCTCAAGGAATTTGCTGCAGGCTCCACAGAGGAGGTGACACCTGAGCTGAGTGTTAAGAATGAATAAAAATTATCCTGGAGAGAATAGTTTAAGCATTTTGGTCCTATTGGCAAAAGAATTTCTTCCCAGAAGTTGTTTGTAATTTTTTTGTGTGTTGTTTTGGTTAAGATGGAATCTAGAAAACTGATGTATCATTGTTAATGATTATTCTGATGTTTAAGAAATTAATCAGATGATGTGGGCCTGGAAATGAGATTTGACTGCCTAGGAGAGGAGGAATGATGCATTTCAGATGGAAACTTACATATCCCTGGATGATAACCTTGGGAACAGCTTGGAAGGGGGAGAGCAGAACTGTGCTGACCAAAACTGGATGCTCAGAGAGAATGGAGGTGGGTGTGTTGGCTGAGAAGGGGGCACTGGGGCTGCTCCTCAGAAAATTCGTGTGAGGTTTTGGGAAGGAGTGACTTCCCAGAAGAGGACCTAGCTTCTCCAGGGCGGTAGTGATGGAAAGAGTGTCCATGCTGGAGAAGGACAGTGAAGTGTCATGAGGGAACATGGAGACGGAGGTCAAGAAGAGGAGTCTGTCCCTCGAAGAAAGGTGATGTGGAACCTGTGGAGGACAAGTTGATTGGGTACTAGTGAGCGAAGACTTCACTAATAATGTGTGTGAAAAGCCAAAACCTAAGACACAATTAAGAAAAAAACAAAAACAATTAAGGAAAAATACCATCTTGGTTTCTGGAGAGAAGTACAATTCTCAGGCCTGAGGCCTTTGGGAAGGGATGAGATGCAGATTCCAACTCCTTCTCCTTATGAGCTGTTGAAAACTGCTGGGGAAAAGAAGCATCCACTGCTCTGAGTCTTATCATCATATATTAGTTTTGACTACTCATATACTCATACATAGTTTTGTCAACTTCATATACTCATATATAGACTTCCCAGACTCATACTTAAAAAAAAACTACATACATAGACTTCATAGACTCATGCAGTTAAAAAAAGGAAAAAAGATAATATGAACGGTTGATTATACAAGGTAAAATAATTACAAATATGAATATGTATAGCAGATGACACATGATTTATGTTTATTAAAAAGTTATAGCTGATCAAGAAGGTAATACTATAATTAATGTATACAATATTTTATTTATCATATTAAGTTAATTTTATTTTGAAACTATAGCCAAAAAACTTTAAAGCTGTTGCCTATCTGTATTTATATATCCATGTATGACTAAATATGTACTTATGAAGTTATATTAATAAATACTTTACTACAAGTAACTATATGAATAATGAACAAAAGAAGTAAAATTAGATTTTTGTTTTTTTTAATAAAAATAACTAAATTATTCTCTTCCCATATTAGTAGAGGTTTCCCTTTGTCACCAAAATAATCTGTTAACTGTTGATGGTTTTTCATATATTCTTAAATAGTTTTTGAAAACAGTTCTTACCTTTATTTAATTAGTTTATTTATTTTGAGACAGAGTCTTGCACTGTGGCCCAGGCTGAGTACAGTGGCACAAACACGGCTCACTGCAGCCTCAACCTCCTGGGCTCAAGTGATCCTCCCACCTCAGCCTCCTGAGTAGCTAGGACTACAGGCATGTACCACCAGATCTGGCTAACTTGAGTCTTTGCTTTTTTTTAAAAAAGGTTACATTTCTAATAATCATTGTTGTTTGTTGTGTGATTTTGCAATGTTAACTGTAAATATTTCTTGTGTTTATATACTTATGACAGATTTTGTCTCCTTTAACAACCGTTTTTGATTTTTGCCTTCCCCAAACTCAGAATAATAAAATCAGTGAAATGTCAAGAAAGAAAGAAAGGAAGGAAGGAAGGAAGGAAGGAAGGAAGGAAGGAAGGAAGGAAGGAAGAGAGAGAGAGAGAAAGAAAGAAAGAAAGAATAAAAGAAAGAAAGAAAGGAAAAGAAGGAAAGGAAAGAAAAAGAAAGAAAAAGGAGGAAAAAGAAAACGGAAAACTGTTGGGCAGAGCAAGGTGAACCCGACTGCAAATTTCCCTGACATAGACTTCACCATTGTCTGGAGGGTTTCATTGCTGATACTCGGAGCTGTCGCCATGTGTTAGCATGCCCAGCAGATAAAGTTAGCAATTGGATTTGCATCTTAAACTGCGTGTTCCCATCGTGGCAGCAGAGCAGCCTGCTTAGGCTTCTCGAGTAATCTGGGCCCTCTCTTGGGTAAGCATAGATAAGAGGCTGAACAGTGAGCACTCTGCCCATTTAACCTACTGGAAAAGCACATTTACAGATTAAGACTGCAACAAACCTTTTGTTGTCCCAAAAAGATAAAACCAGACGTGTTAGAGGAATAAAAATGTGATCCATGTTCTGAATGCTATAGATTGGGTGCTATGTCTGCCATATAAGATTAGACTTTGCAGGCAGATATATCTAGTTTTAGCCTCATAGCACTTTTTGAGAGGCCCCTCAACAAGATCATCATTTTACAGTACAATTAATGAACTCCTTAAGCAGATTGCATCAGAGTTGACAGCAAAACTGCCCCTCCTATCCTTTCACAGTGAGACATACACAGTTGGGGCAGGGCTAGGAGAAAATAACATTTAGGTTTTGATTTAGGCACATTATTTTCTAAATTTGAGTTGTGCATGTCATGTGTGTATTTAGTTTTGGCCAATTTTCTTTTTCTTGCTGGTTTTTTCTTTTTGTAACCTTAAAGAAAATTTCACAGGGTACAGTGTGTTTCTTTACTATATAGAGTGCTTGGTTCCATTTTAGAAAATTGCTATGGAGAATCCACTAATGCTATAAATTCATATTAAAATATATTTGTACATCCACAGACCCAGCAATCCCACTCCTAGCTCTATACTCTGTAGAAATGAAAATACATGAGCACCAGAGTAAATGTACAAGAATGTCCATAGCAGCATTTGTAATAGCCCTAAACTGAAAATAACCTAGGTGTTCACCAATGGTAGAATATTCTGTAAATAAAATGGAATGTCATGCAAAGCAAAAGAATAAACTGCTGCTTACACAGGAATATGGATAAATGCCACAAACATAATAGTAAAGTCAGACACCCCCCACCCCAACACTCACACACAAAAGAAGACCAGCACAAAGAAAAGATTTTATGTAATTTGATTTGTATGAATTTCAAAAGCAGGCAAAACCAAGCTGCACTGACAGAATTTAGAGAAGTGGTTACATTTGGAGGAGCCAGTGACTGAGAAAGGACATGGCAGGGACTTCTGCTCTACTGGGGACACTCCCTTTCTTGATCTGGATGGTGGTTACACAGTGTGTTTACTATGAAATGTCACCACTAGACACACTTATGATTTGTGCACTTTTCTGTGTATATATTTTTACTTCTATAAAAAATTTTAAAAGTGGTTTGCCCTTTTATTTGTAATATTCAGATGTCTTAAATGTGAGACACATTTAATTACTTTGTACATATTAGCATATTGCACAAGGTATTAGTATTTTGAATTTGATGTTCCTGTAAATATATATGTGTACCAATTAACATTTTCTGAATTTTGTGACATTCTTTATGGAGGCTAATACTGTGGCAAACACTGATAAATTTTAAGAATGGACTAACAAATTATGTCAAAGATTCTTCTAGAATGGAAAAACTGCTATTAGCTAATAGCATCAACTATTGAAGAAAATTATATTTTATTTTAACATGTATGTACTTATTTTATTGAATATAGGCATTACACAACTCATTCAAACATGGTTTGACTTTGCTACCATCTTCACTTTCTGCCTGCCTTCATATTGTATTGTACTGTTTGGCATCCTCCCTTTCTCTAAAAAGAATTTAAGATTACATTCTCCCTTTATGTCTATGTTACTTACTTATAAGATACATACATGTGGACTTTTCCTGTCTTTTTGTCTAAAATCATTGATGTCTTCTCAGAATGTTGTGTGTGTATGTGTGTAGTGATATTAATAATATAATAGAGAAATTGCAGTCATGTTGAAAAGAACCAAAGACAATAGTTGAGATTCCTGTTTTCAGACAGGCAGTTGCTGTCTAAGAAATTTAGTGTTTTAAAGCATTCTATTAAGAACTTGGAGAGATGGTAAAATCATAAGATCTAGGTGAAGCAAACAAGATAACAAGCCCTACTGTTTTTCAACTTTTTCAACCTGATAGAATTATAGAATGTTAGTGCTGGGTGGGACAGAGGACAGACACTCAACAAATTCATAAAAATGGTCCCTCAGAGCCTGCTCGGGGCTGGTGGGTGTGCTCCCAAGGCCCTATATGTAAAGGAGATGCCACCCTGAACCTGCCCCCTTTGCAAAATCACCTTAGTACCATGGAGTCAAGAAACAGTTAAAGATGAACGGGCTATACCAACTTTGTAGAGGGGATGCTTGCCCTCCTAGAGATGGCACCCCATTAAGAAGGCTGGATGCCTGGAATTCCTTTCCATTGTGCTTCACTTGTAAATTTTTAAACTTTGCTTCAGTCCTAAGGCCTGTGGTAGAAGAACACAGCTTTCCAATCTTATCTATTTTCCAGTGTAGGATAAACATGTTGGGTTTAGTTAAATTATGAATGCTGATAATATTCATTTGGTACAATTTATATTCTTCTTTTATCTTTTTATTTTTGACAGTTTAGGCCGGGGCATAAAGCATAATTATATCCTTGGCATCCTCCCTTAGAAGTTTTAAATCAGTTCATGAGGCTTTCAGCGTGGCTCATGTCATTTATCCATCAGCATTCAGTCCATTTAATCCGGGCCTCTCAGCCGCTCAGCCCTAGCCCCTGTTGTGAATGATTGGCCTGCTCCAGTGCTCCCAGCTTCTCCTGTCACATCGCATTTGCATAAAAGAGGACAGATAACCAAATTTGAGCACACAAATGAAAATGCTAAGCGCTAAACCTGTCACAGTTGTTGTTCAACTAATTGTGAAAAATTTGATTTGCTCGCCTTTCACTGTGTGTCATGCAGACCCCCTTCTCAAATGTGCCTTGGCTTCTGCCTCTGTCTATGTAGCTTTTAAACTCTTGAGCACAAGCAGCCCACCCTGGGGATTACTTACCTCTCCTACCAGCTTTTAATGTTGGCTCATCTTCTTGACTAAATTAGGCCACCATGGCAAACAAACACATAATTAAAAACCCAGGAAAGACAACTGCAGTTGCACTTCTTAAATTGATTTTTGCAATGCTGGTGTATGCCTCCATGTGCTCTTCCATTTGATCATTTTATTTCTTTATATAACCTTTTGATAGAAGAAATTTAAAGATGGGTGGTGTTGCAAGCTTTATGTTTTTAAAACCTATGTGTTATTTTGTTTCTTACTTTCTGTTTCTCAAATAACAAAAATTGTATAATGGGTCTTAAAAAGCACATTCCTCTTCCCTAATATCTGACCTGACATACCAGTATACCTTTTTAATCAAGGTTTCAAATGATCCCGTTTGAAGTAGTATTAGAAACAATGGATAAAATTCCTTTGCCTACAACACTCAACCACAGGACCTCTTTTAAATGGTATGTAATATGGGTATTTAAAAAAACTTGCATGTGTTATATGCACAATGCAGTTCAGTATTTGCTATATAGAAGCTTTAACTGTTTTCTTTTTATAGGCCTTAAGTTAGTAATTTCTTGATGTCCATTAAAACAATACACATGTGGTTTGTCTAGTGTCAAAAACTCATTTTCTAAAAGTCATGCAAGAAAATGTCTCCTTTGTTTATAACAATATCACTGACTGCTTTGCTGCATTAATTTGCTCCTAATAGTTTAGGTTCAGGCAACAATGAAGATGGCATTAACTAAAGTTGAAACCTTTTAAGCTTGAGTATAGCTTAAATCACCTTTGAGAATTGGAAGGGTATAGTCTTGAAATTGGGTTGAAATGAAATGTGACATTACAGTGACAGTTTGCAGTTTGCAAAAGTTGGATGTGGTGTCATTTATTGCAGTATGCCTTTGGGATTTATTTTTAGTAGGTCATATGAAATGATTAATGGAAGAAATGTTTAAATAGATATACACATGTATATACAGCATTTAGTGTGTATGTATATATATATATACAAACACATACATAACTCTTGCATTTACACAGTCGCATCCTAAAGAGAACAATATGTCTTTCTGTTTGCTACAACCTCCGAAATGCTGAGAAATTAAATCCAATTTGAAAATTTGAGTGTGCACAAATCTTTTTACAATGTTTCATCCCATTTTATTTAAAAAAAGATTATAGTATGAAATGCTTACTACTTTGAAACACAAATGATACATTTAAGAGGTGAATTTTTTTTTTTTTACAGAGCTAGGGAAATATTTCACTCCTGGTACATTTTGTGTAGGCTTTTTCTACAGGCACACCTCAGAGATATTGCAAGTTTGGTTCCAGACCACTAGAATAAAGTGAATATCACACTTTTACATTTTTTGGTTTCCCAGCATGTGAAAGTTATGTTTACACTATACTGTAGTCTATTAACTGTGCAATAGCATTATGTCTAAAAAGCAGTGTACCTTCTTTAATTTAAAAATACTTTATTGCTAAAAAATGGTAACAATCTTCCAACTCTTGTTATGCTGATATTTTGACCTCCTTCCATGAATCATGAATGTTCTTAATGGAATCTAGAATGGTGAATCATATCCAGAAGATTTTCAATTTACTTTCCCAGATCCATCAGAGGAATCCCAATCTATGGCAGTTATAGCCTCACAAAATGAATTTCTTAAATAATAAGTCTTGAGAGTTAAAATGACTCCTTGATCCATGGGCTGCTGAATGGATGTTGTGTTACAGGCATGAAAACAACATAAATCTCCTTGTACAGCTCCATCAGAGCTCTTAGGTGACCAGGTGAATTGTCAATGAGCAGTAATATTTTGAAATAAATCTTTTTGTTTGAGGTTTCAATAGTGGGCTTAAGATATTCAGTAAATCATGCTGAAAGCAGATGGGAGGTAGGCTTTGTTGTTCCATTTCTAGAGCACAAATAGAATAGATTTAGCATAATTCTTAAAGGCCTTAGGACTTTTAGAATGGTAAATGAACATTGGCTTCAACTTAAAGTCACCAACTGCGTTAACTCTAACAAGACAGTCAACCTGTCCTTTGAAGCTTTGAAGCCAGGGACTGACTTCTCTGTAGAGATGAAAGTCCTAGATGGCATCTTCTTTCAATGGAAGGCTGTTTTGTCTAAATTAAATATCTACTATTTAGTGTAGCCACCTTCATCAATGATCTTAACTAGATTTTCTGGAAAACTAGCTGCAGCTTCTGCATCAGCACCTGCTGCTTCACCTTGCACTTTTGTGTTATAGACGTGTCTTCTTTTCTTAAACCTCATGAACCAACTTCCAATAGCTTCAGGCTTTTCTTCTACAACTTCCTCACCTTTCTTAACCTTTAAAGAACTGAAGTGAGTTAAGGCCTTTCTCTGGATTAGGCTTTGGCTTATAGGAATGTTGTGGCTGGTTTGATCTTCTTATCCGGACCACTCAAACTTTCTCCATATCAGCAATAAGGCCGTTTTGCTTTCTTATCATTAATGTGTGCACTGGAGTAGCACTTTTAATTTCCTTCAAGAACATTTTATTTGCGTTCACAACTTGGCTAACTGGCACAAGTGTCTTAGCTTTTGGCCTGTCTCAGCTTTGACATGCCTTCCTCTCTAAGCTTAATTATTTCTAACTTTTGATTTAAAAGGAGAGATTTGTGACTCTTCCATTCACTTGAACACTTACAGGTCATTGTAGGGTTACTAACTTGCCTAAATTCAATATTGTTATTTCTCAGGGAATAGGGAGGGCCTGAGGAGAGGGAGAGAGACAGGGGAATGGCTGGTGGGTGGAGCAGCCAGAACACAGACATTGATTGGTTAAGTTCACCACCTTACATGGGTGTGGTTTGTGGCGCCCCCAAACAATTACGATAGTAACATCAAACATCACTGATTGCAGATCACCATAACAGATATGTTAATAATGAAAAAGTTTGAAACATTGTAAGAATTACAAAAATGTGACACAAAGACACAAAGTGAGTACATGCTGTTGGAAAAATGGTACCAACAGACTTGCTCTGTTCAGAGTTGCCACAAACCTTCCATTACTTGTAAAAAATTCAAGGTCAGACCAGGTGCAGTAGTGCATGCCTGTAGTCCCAGCTACTGCGGAGGACTGCTCGAGGCCAGGAGTTGGAGGCATGAGCTATGATGGCGCCTGTGAGTAGCCACTGCACTCCAGCCTGGACAACATGGTGAGAGCCCGTGCTTAAAGCAAACCACCACCAACAACAGAGGCCGGGTAAGGTGGCTCACACCTGTAATCCCAGCACTTTGGGAGGCCAAGGCAGGCAGATCACCTGAAGTGTGGTGTTCAAGACCAGCCAGGCCAACATAGCGAAACCCTGTCTCTACTAAAAATACAAAAATTAGCCAGGTGAGGTTGTGGGCGCCTGTAATCCCAGCTACTTGGGAGGCTGAGGCAGGAGAATTGCTTGAACACAGGAGGTAGAGGTTGCAGTGAGCTGAGATCGGGCCACTACACTCCAGCCTGGGCAACAGAGCAAGACTCCATCTCCAAAAAAAAAATAACAAAAAAAACAAAAAACCAGAAAAACACCATGTCTGTAAAGTACAATAAAACAAAGTTGGCTTGATTTTTATGTCGTTATTACTATAATTTCTTGTTTTGTGAATGAAAGTCTCTGTGTCTGCAGGTATATATTTCAACTAGTTACATATGAACAATATTGGTAAATATTACTTATGAGGCGTTTTTATGTTTTGAAACCAAAATTGTGAGAAGACTGCAGAACTTAATTTAACATCCCAAGAAGGATTGAAAGAAACCATCACCAGGGAAATCTCTTAAGACGCTACAAGGCCTTATACAGAGTAGAAACAAAATAGTCTATTCCACTTATATTCTACTTCTAAGTCATGCTAATTCCTCTTCAGTAATTTTTGGTTTCCTTTCTTTTCTTTTCTTCTCTTTTCTCCTTTCCTTTCTTTTCCTTTCCTTTCCTTTTCCCTTTCCTTTCCTTTCCTTTTCCTTTTCCTTTGCCTGTCCTTTCTGTGATAGAATCTTGCTCTGTCACCCAGACTGGTGCACAGTGGCATTAATATGGCTCACTGCTGCCTCAACCTTCTGGGTTCAAGCAATCCTCCTGCCTCAGCCTCACAAGTAGCTGGAATCACAAGCACGTGCTACTTTGTCCAACTAATTTTTTAATTTTTTGCCCAGACAGGGTTGGGTCTTGTCATGTTGCCTGGGCTGGTCTTGAACTCCTGAGGTCAAGCAATCCTCCCCACTTTGGCCTCCCAATGTGCTTGGATTATAGGTGTGA
This sequence comes from Homo sapiens, assembly GCF_000001405.40. NCBI lineage: Eukaryota > Metazoa > Chordata > Mammalia > Primates > Hominidae > Homo > Homo sapiens. Next base: position 79,283,631 of record NC_000013.11, on the reverse strand, counting down.
GCCACTGCACCTGGCCTACTTACTAATTTTCGGTGAGTTAATGCATGTAACACTTTGGAACAGAATTCAGCAAAGAGTAATTATCCAAAAATTGTAGCTAGTATTATAGTGCATTCAATATTAATGCTTTACTTTTCCCTTTGACCAATTTTAAATAGTTTCTGAGGTTTCTAAGCAATCACATTTAGCATTTTCATAGCTTTATATAATATTCTGTAGTTTACCAAATATTTCCACAACCATCCATATTATTACTAGTTTTTGTTTTCTTTTATAAATACATGCAGCTATCAGTATCTTTGTTCAGTCATGCTCCTTTACCTCCCTGCACCCCCCTCCCTGCTTTTTTTATTACTCTTCTGAGTTAAGTCTGCAGAGGTGAGATTCCCGTTTCATATGGCGTAATCATTTTATTGGTTTTGAGTCATATTGCAAAATCATCATCCCAAAAAGACTGAACCGTTTCATAATATCAGCTGCAACCTCTGCCCTCACCAGTGATCTTGCTAGCATTTCCTGTCTTGTGTCTCCCTCAGCTCAAAGTCAAAGCCCAGACTGAGCACTCTGTAACCTACTGCCATGGTCTTTTCTTGTAATACTGTGTCTATGTCTAGCACTCCCTTTCTTATTCATTTCACATGGCAATAGTTCTTCTCAACCATTGTTTATGTCATGACAGTGTTAGAAGCGTTCTTCTGAATTACGTACTTTTTTTAAATCAACTTATAAGTTTTTATTAGTTAAACTAGTATATGAACTGTCATCTACTAAGCCTACTATTTCTATTTTATTCTATTAGGACACTGTGTATTCTAGTTCTAAGAATGGAGGCTTTTGGTTCAGATGCCTGTTTAAATCCCAATGCTATCACTTATCAGTGGTGTAACTTCAGGTAGATTCCGTGAACTTTGATTATTTATCTTTGGAATGAAAACAACCATACCAACGTCACATGGTTACCGTGGTATATGGTCTGTGAAATCTTGGCTGGTATCAGGCACTTCATATATAGTAGTTTATTGACTATTTTAATCGTTACTATATTCCTACTCCTGTTCTTTTCTCCAAATATTTCCTGCAAATATTTTTTCATTCCCATCTTCAAACCATTGTAAACAACTGAGATTCTTTGCTTCCTTCTGCTGAATTTGATTTTTTTTTTTAAAATAATCTTTCCTCAATTTTTCATATTGGACTTACCTGCTTAGACACCTACTTCTTTTATTTGGGATTTGAAGATCTCCCAAAGGAATGTTTTTACATGAGAAATTTTTCTTCGAGTAATTAAGTTTAACGGGAGTAAAAAGCTGAAGGAATCCATAAATTACATGAAAATGAGTGTTTTCAGTTTGGTGCAAAGCAGAGGAAAAAAGAGAAAACGTTCATTTCTCTTCCCCAGTGACTGAAACCATTTCTGTACCTGAGTGGTTCTAAGATACCCTCCTGGTCTTAGTGTTGAAGGGCTTGGAATAAAAGAGATGTAGCACTCAGCAACTCTTTGGCTAATTATGTTTACAAAGTGCTTTCCACTCCTCTTGCCCTGCTTAAATTTCTAATTGTATAAAACATTTCCCTGACCTTAGGAAACATACAAGTTAGTCAGAAAAATAAACAATACATTTTTAAAATTTTACAGATAAAAATCATGAAATAATGCCACCAGCATGACATGACATAGACAAGGGTTTTGGAACTCAAGTGCTAAGGGAACTGAAGAGTATACGTGGTCCCTGAAAGCATTAAAATTTAGTTTAAATAGCAGCAAAAACACCATCACCATGTTGACCAAGAAAAAGACATCTGAGTGGCATTCTGTGGGATGCTGTTCTGTGACTACTCGTACACAAATGATGTTATATTTATAGAGCTAACCATGGTTCAGAAAGAGTGTAGGGAGGCATTAGGACTAAGCTGTAAATGACAAAAGGGATTTGTCCAAGTGAGGATGGGAGGCCACATGCCAGGCAGAGGGATGGCTGGGGAAAGGCAGAGAATGAGAAAATAGATGATCCTTCTTAAGGCCAGTGAGCAATTTGATTTTATGTAGGAGGAAATTCATGCCCAAGACAAAAGCTCCAATGATGAAAAGGGGTTGGTATTTACGCTGTATGTAGCGGCAGGCTATAAAAGGGTCCTTCCCACCCCCGCTGGGAAATTAACATAACAAAAGTGATGTTTTAGGATGATTATGCAGGTGGCATGCTGAAATCAGAAGGTGCAGAAAAGCCTGCAGCAAAGGAGACCAGTTAGAAGAGGATGTTGATGGTCCAGGTGTGAGGTACAAAGCATCACACTACGTATAATGATGGTGAAAAATTGAAAGGGAACAACATACAAAAGAGACATTTCATAAAAAGAATTAATAGCTTCTGTTGATGGATACAATTTAGGGCTAAAATGGATGAAGATTTCAAAGTTTATTGACGTTTCAAACTTGGGCAAAATATTAACTAAAATAAGCAACCAAGAGTACTGGCTTGGTGGGGAAAAGTATGAACGTGATTCTAGATAGGTGAAGTGAAATACTCAAGTGGTACAGTGTGTCTGTAGCTGGGGTGATTAAGATTGGATGCAGATTTGAAGATCAAATTTGACAATTACATTAAATAAGGAAATAGAAAATGATGAACAAGAATTAGAAGATATTACTTGTTTCAGTAATTTGACAGTGAATGAAAAAAACAAGCTAAAGAGGCAGCTTAAACACGTCAGAGAATTAACCAGAAAGTTTTTATTTTTCAAGAGAAGGGAGGAAAGTTGAAAGAAGCCATTGAAATAGGAACATCTCTTTCTTCTGTAGGTGATTTTCTGTGGGTTGTTCCCCTGCTTAGAAAAGTCATATAATGATATGGATTAAAGTCCAAATTCTACATTGGATTGGATCCAATAATTAGGTCTCTTTTTTTGGTTCTGTGAGGACAGGGAGGTAGAAACTTATTTTCTTCTAGTATGGGGCAAGATCAGCGTTCAGAGTGGGAAAAGAAGCTACCACAAATCCCTGAAATTAGGTGGGAATTAACAATGTTTTAGTAGAGCTCTCCTTTCATGACCTTTAACACCTGCTATGGAATTTTGTTAAGTGTTCTATTGGATTTGTAACGTAACGATAGCTTTTTATTAAGAACTTTGAGAAATTACAACAGCCAAGCCGCAGTCACTGGAGAAGTGATTAATATGATCCTTTACAATCATGGCAGGAATTACCACTCCTCTTTGATGTCTGCTTTTCCTCCACTTTTGGCAGGTGAGTGGGCTGCTTTTCCCCACCTGCTGCCCCTAAAGGATAAGCATGCTTTGCGATATGCTTTGGCCAAGGCGAGTGAGGGGAAGTATTACGTGTTAGTCGTGACTGCCTGTTAGCCTGCTCTTCCCTCTCACAACAATTGATCAGGGATGTGCATGTTGCTGTGGAGGCGCCCTGAGACAGAAGCAGGAATGTATTAGTTTGTTCTTGCATTGCTATAAAGAACTACCTGAGAATGGGTAATTTATAAAGAAAAGGGGTTCAATTGACTCACAGTTCTGCAGGCTGTATAGGAAGCATGGCGGGGGAGGCCTCAAGAAACACGATCATGGAGAAAGCAAAGGGGAAGCAGGCACGGCCTACATGGTTGGAGCAGGGGGAAGAGAGCAGCGGACGGTACTAGACAATTTTAAACAACCAGATCTCATGAGAACTCACTTACTATCACGAGAACAGCAAGGGGGAGATCCGCCCCCATGATCAAATCACCTACCACCAGGCCCCTCCTCCAACACTGGAGATTACAATTTGGCATGAGATTTGGGTCGGGACACAAATCCAAACTTTCACTCGCGTCCGTGTGAAGAGACCACCAAACAGGCTTTGTGTGAGCAATAAAGCTTTTAATCACCTGGGTGCAGGCGGGCTGAGTCCGAAAAGAGAGTCAGCGAAGGGAGATAGGGGTGGGGCCGTTTTATAGGATTTGGGTAGGTAAAGGAAAATTACAGTCAAAGGGGGGTTGTTCTCTGGCGGGCAGAGTGGGAGTCACAAGGTACTCAGTGGGGGAGCTTTTGAGCCAGGATGAGCCAGGAGAAGGAATTTCACAAGAGAATGTCATCAGTTAAGGCAGGAACAGGCCATTTTCACTTCTTTTGTGGTGGAATGTCATCAGTTAAGGCGGGAACCGGCCATCTGGATGTGTACGTGCAGGTCACAGGGGATATGATGGCTTAGCTTGGGCTCAGAGGCCTGACATTCCTGTCTTCTTATATTAATAAGAAAAATAAAATGAAATAGTGGTAAAGTGTTGGTACGGTGAAAATTTTGGGGGATGGTATGGAGAGAGAGAATGGGCGATGTTTCTCAGGGCTGCTTTGAGCGGGATTAGGGGTGGCGTGGGAACCTAGAGTGGGAGAGATTAAGCTGAAGGAAGATTTTGTGGTAAGGGGTGATATTGTGGGACTGTTAGAAGAAACATTCGTCATTTAGAATTATTGGTGATGGCCTGGATACATTTTTGTATGAATTGAAAAACTAAAAGGAATAAGAGAAGGAGAAAAACAGGTATTAAAGGACTAAGAATTGGGAAGACCCAGGACATCTGATTAGAGAGTGCCTAAGGAGGTTCAGCATAGCCTTGCCAGTAAAGATTATTTATTTCCTTTAGAGTTAAGAGTGGCGGTTTGGGGATAGCACCAGGAGATATCAGCTGTGGTGGCTTGGAGAAACAGTGTAAACTGGCAGTGTAAACAAGAGCAGGGCATGTATGAATAGTTGAGAACGGTGAATAGGAGTATGACTAGACAGAAGACAGTAGGGATGACAAGTTTTTTGGGGCACAGCCCAAGTTGGTCTGGTGTCTAGAATGAGACTGGGGCTTAATAAAAAGGAGCTCAAATGGGCTGTACCTTGTAGCATTCCGAGGACAGGCCTGAATTCTGAGAAGCGAAAGTGGTAAGAGTATTGTCCATTCCTTTTTAAGTTGGTGGCTGAGCTTGGTGAGGTGACCTTTAGTCCGTTCTACTTTTCTTGAAGATGGAGGACCGTAAGGGATATAAAGGTTTCACTAAATACTAACAGCCTAAAAAACTGCTTGGCTGATTTGACTAATAAAGGCTGGTCTGTTATCAGACTGTATAGAGGTGGGAAGGCTAAACTGAGGAATTATGTCTGACAGAAGGGAAGAAATGACTGCAGTGGCCTTCTCAGACCCTGTAGGAAAGGCTTGTACCTATCCAGTGAAAGTGTCTACCTAGACTAAGAGGTATTTTAGTTATCAGAGTTATCTGACTCGGGGCATGTTGAGTAAAGCTAATTTGCCAGTCCTGGGTGGGGGCAAATCCTCGAGCTTGATGTGTAGGGAAGGGAGGGGGCCTGAATAATCCCTGAGGAGTAGTAGAATAGCAGATGGAACACTGAGAAGTTATTTCCTTGAGGATAGATTTCCACGATGGAAAGAAAATGAGAGGTTCTAAGAGCCGGGCTAGTGGCTTGTACTATAGCATAGCCTGCCTTTGCTGGTGTGTGGCGATTAGGCCTGGTGGAACTGCCATCAGTAAATCAAGCGTGATCAGCGTGAGGAACAGGAAAGAAGGAAATATGGGGAAATGGGGTGAATGTCAGGTGGATAAGAGAGATACAGTCATGGGAGTCAGGTGTGGTATCAGGAATAATGTGGGAGGCTGGATTGAAGTCCGGGCCAGGAACAATGGTAATTGTGGGACTTAACAAAGAGTGAGTACAGCTGAAGGAGCCAGGGAGCAGAAAGTATATGCGTCAGGTATGAGGAAGAAAATAGATTTTGGAAGTTATGAGAAATGTAGAGAGTAAGTTGAGTATAGTTTGTGATTTTGAGGGCCTCTGAAAGTATTAGGGCGGCAGCAGCCGCTGCACGGAGACATGAGGGCTAGGCTAAAACAGTAAGGTCAAGTTGTTTGCACAGAAAGGCTACAGGGTGCGGTCCTGGCTCTTGTGTAAGAATTCTGACTGCACTAACCATGCCTAGGAAGGAAAGGAGTTGTTGTTTTGTAAGGGATTGGGGTTTGGGAGATTAATCAGACACGATCAGCAGGGAGAGCACGTATGTTTTTGTGAGAATTATGCTGAGATAGGTAACAGATAAGGAAGAAATTTGGGCTTGACTTAAGTAATGGGGGCTGTCTGTGAAGCTTTGTGGCAGTACAGCCCAGGTAATTTGCTGAGCCTGATGGGTGTCAGGGTCAGTCCAAGTGAAAGTGAAGGGAGGCTGGGATGACGGGTGCAAAGGAATAGTAAAGAAAGCATGTTTGAGATCTAGAACAGAATAATGGATTGTGGAGGGAGGTATTGAGGATAGGAGAGTATATGGGTTTGGCACCATGGGGTGGATAGGCAAAACAATTTGGTTGATAAGGCATAGATCCTGAACTAACTTGTAAGGCTTGTCTGGTTTTAGGACAGGTAAAATGGGGGAATTGTAAGGAGAGTTTATAGGCTTTTAAAGGCCATGCTGTAGCAGGTGAGTGATAACAGGCTTTAATCCTTTCAAAGCATGCTGTGGGATGGGATATTGGCATTGAGCAGGGTAAGGGTGATTAGGTTTTAACGAGATGGTAAGGGGTGCATGATCGGTCGCCAAGGAGGGAGTAGAGGTATCTTATACTTGTGGGTTAAGGTGGGGGAATACAAGAGGAGGACGCAAAGGAGGCTTTGGATTGGGAAGAAGGGCAGCAATGAGATGTAACTGTAATCCAGGAATAGTCAGGGAAGCAGATAATTTAGTTAAAGTGTCTTGGCCTAATAAGGGAACTGGGCAGGTGGGGATAACTAAAAAGGAGTGCTTTAAAGAGTATTGTCTAAGTTGGCACCAGAGTTGGGGAGTTTTAAGAGGTTTAGAAGGCTGGCTGTCAATACCCACAACAGTTATGGAGGCAAGGGAAACAGGCCCTTGAAAAGAAGGTAATGTGGAGTGGGTAGCCTCCATATTGATTAAGAAGGGGACAGACTTACCTTCCACTGTGAGAGTTACGCGAAGCTCAGCGTCCGTGATGGTCTACGGGGCTTCCCAGGCGATCGGGCAGTGTCAGTCTTCAGCCGCTAAGCCAAGATCTGGGAAGCAGTCAGGGAGTCTTGGGCCAGAGTCCCAGGGGCTCTGGGAGTGGCTGCCAGGTGAGTTGGACAGTCCGATTTCCAGTGGGGTCCCGCACAGATGGGAGGTGGCTTAGGAGGAATCCTGGGCTGCAGGCATTCCTTGGCCTGGTGGCCAGATTTCTGGCACTTGTAGGAAGCTCCTGGGGGAGGAGGTTCTGGAGGAATGCCTGGCTGCTGCGGTTCAGGCGTTTGGAAGTTCTTGTGTGCTGGAGATGTGGCTGGGGTTTGTCTCACAGTGGAGGCAAGGAATTGCAACTTTTTTCTATTATTGTACACCTTGAAGGCGAGGTTAATTAAATCCTGTTGTGGGGTTTGAGGGCCAGAATTTAATTTTTGGAGTTTTATTTAATGTCAGGAGCAGATTGGGTAAAAAAAATGTATTTTGAGAATAAGACGGCCTTTTGACCTTTTAGGGTCTAGGGCTGTAAAGTGTCTCAGGGTTGCTGCCAAACCAGCCATGAACTGGGCTGGGTTTTTATATTTGATGAAAAAGAGCCTAAACGCTATCTGATTTGGGATAAAGAAAAAGGAGCATTAACCTTGACTATGCCTTTAGCTCCAGCCACCTTTTTAAGAGTAAATTGCTGGGCAGGTGGGGGAGGGCTACTCACGGAACGAAACTGTAAGCCGGACCAGGTGTGAGGAGGGGAGGTGATAAAAGGATTATAGGGTGGGGGATCGGAGGCTGAGGAAGAATTGGGACCTAGCTCGGCCTGGTGAGGAGCAGCCTGGGGAGGAGGGGAGAGGTCAGATGGGTCTGTAGAAAAGGAAGATTAGAAAGACTCAGCAACACTTGGGGTTGGGACTGGGGGGACAGGTGGGAGGGAAAGAAGGAAGATTTGGGATGAGTTGCATTGGGAACAGAGACTAGAGAGGGACTGATATGTAAAAGAATGCCTGGACGTCAGGCACCTCAGACTATTTGCCCATTTTACAACAAGAATTATTTAGATCTTGCAGGATGGAAAAATTGAAAGTGCCGTTTTCTGGCTATTTGGAACTACTGTCGAGTTTGTATTGGGGTCAAGCAGCATTGCAGAAGAAAATAAGATGCTTAGCTTTTAGGTCAGGTGAGAGTTGAAGAGGTTTTAAGTTCTTAAGAACACAGGCTAATGGAGAAGAAGGAGGAATGGAGGGTGGAAGGTTGCCCATAGTGAAGGAGGCAAGCCCAGAGAAAAGAGAGAGTAGAGACATGGAGGGAAGGGGTTTGGGGGTTCTTACCCTCCAGAAAAGCGGGAAAAGGGTCGGGGCACAGAGATATGAGGTTGGGGCATGGAAATAATGGATTGGGGCACAGAGATAAGAGGTTGGGGCGTGAAAATAAGGGATCGGGGTGCAGAGATATAAGAGGTTGGGGCATGGAAATAAGGGATTGAGGCGCAGAGATATAAGAGGTCGGGGCATGGAAATAAGGGATCGGGGCACAGAGATACGAGGTTGGGGTACTTGACCCTCCCCTAGAAAAGCGGGACTTGCTGCTAAGGGTGAAGGAGAAGGGGTTGGGGGTTTCTTGCCCCCCAGAAAGGCGCAGAAGGGGTAGAGACACAGAGAGAAGGGGTCGGGGTTCTTGCCCCTCTCCCAGAAAAGCGGGACTTGCCGCTAAGGGTGAGGGACCAAGGCAGGCGTCCCTGCATGGTCTGACACCTCTGAAACCTGGGTGAATAATCAGAGAGGCGTCCCTGCAATGATTAAACACCAAGGGAAGGCTGCCTTCCCAGTCCATGACCGGTGCCGGAGTTTTGGGTCCACGGATAAAACGTGTCTCCTTTGTCTCTACCAGAAAATGAAAGGAATTGAAATTAAAAGAAGGGAGAGATTGAAGTGTGGTGCCAAGATTGAAAGGAGAAAGAGGTTGAGGGACAGGGAGGTTGGAGAAGAGAGTAAAAAGAGGCTGCTTACCGGATTTGAAATTGGTGAGATGTTTCTTGGGCTGGTTGGTCTGAGGACCTGAGGTCGTAGGTGGATCTTTCTCACAGAGCAAAGAACAGGAGGACAGGGGATTGATCTCCCAAGGGAGGTCCCCTGATCCAAGTCATGGCACCAAATTTCACTCGCGTCTGTGTGAAGAGACCACCAAACAGGCTTTGTGTGAGCAATAAAACTGTTTATTTCACCTGGGTGCAGGTGGGCTGAGTCCGAAAAGAGAGTCAGTGAAGGGAGATAGGGGTGGGGCTGTTTTATAGGATTTGGGTAGGTAAAGGAAAATTACAGTCAAAGAGGGGTTGTTCTCTGGCAGGCAGAGTGGGAGTCACAAGGTACTCAGTGGGGGAGCTTTTGAGCCAGGATGAGCCAGGAGAAGGAATTTCACAAGAGAATGTCATCAGTTAAGGCAGGAACAGGCCATTTTCACTTCTTTTGTGATGGAATGTCATCAGTTAAGGCAGGAACCGGCCATCTGGATGTGTACGTGCAGGTCACAGGGGATATGATGGCTTAGCTTGGGCTCAGAGGCCTGACGCAAACCATATCAAAGAGAGAATGAAACCAACAAGTGACCAGCTGTCCTGGACTGTTGTGTGTCATCTGGACCCATAGCAGACCTGGAAGAATGAGTGATACACTTTTGTCAGAATCATTTTTATTTTTTTCAAATCACAGCATAATCTAGCTTATCCTGGTCAATAAAATGAGGGAATTGAAACAAAAATATAAAGAAGACAGTTGTAGGATGCCCAAAGCTCTTTCTTTAGCTGCTTGAAATGTTTACAGTGATTCAATGTATGAATTCTTATACTTAGTTAGCCAGGTGCAGTGGCTCACGCCTGTAATCCTAGCACTTTGGGAGGCTGAGGTGGGCGGATCATAAGGTCAGGAGATCGAGACCATCCTGGCCAACATGGTGAAACCCCGTCTCTACTAAAAATACAAAAATTAGCCAGGTGTGGTGGCACACACCTGTAGTCCCAGCTACTCGGGAGGCTGAGGCAGGAGAATCACTTGAACCTGGGAGGCGGAGGTTGCAGTGAGCTGAGATTGCACGACAGCATTCCAGTCTGGTGACAGAGTGAGACTCTATCTCAAAAAATAAAAATAAAAAAAAAAAGAAAAAGAAAAAAAAAAGAATTCTTACAGTTAGTCAGAATCTAAATTTTTGTAATCATAATCATCAGGTGTAAACAGAATTATAATAATAGTTAACATGTATTAAGCTCTTGCTATGTCCCAGGCCTGTTCTAAACCCATTTAAGCTCTGTTCATTCTCTCATTTGATCCTGTGTCAATTCTAAGAGACTGCCATTAATAAGGCCAGAGGAGAAAACTAAGGACCAAAGATGTTGTGTAACTTGTTCTTGAACCTTGGCATAAACCATATTTGTCCAAGTTTAGATTCTGTGTGCTTAAACACTTGAAAGGTGAGCAGTAATCAACACTAAATGTTGTGGACTCTGTGGTTTCTGTAAGTAAAATCCACTTTTTCTTCTGTTATAATTACATTCATCAAACCTTCAAACTTGAGATCCTTTCTGCTACTAGTTAGTAAATCTTCAAACTAAAAGACAAGATACAGATTTGTTTTGAGAAATAATAGCTTGAAAAGAAGATAACCCTCAATTAGTCTATGACTGAGAAGCAGGCAAACCCTAGTCAAAGTGGATTTACCTACAAACCAATTTACCTTCAGAACCAATTAACTGGTTGGTTGATTGGATGCATATGGGGATGGAAAAAAACCTCCACAGACAAGATGGGAAATCATTGACTATGCAGACTATTTCAATAAACATTTACTTGGCACCTCCAATGTGCAAAAGACAGCACTGGGTGTTATGAGGTCCCACAGATGAATAAACACAGGACCTCAGGGAGCTCACAATCTAGCGCTTATGGGACATCACTGACAACAACATCTGATATTTCTGAGCATTAAAAGTGTGCCAGTATTCTAAAAACCACTGAATTGTGCACTTAAAAATATGTGCCAAGAATTTCACATCTATTTCTCATTTAATCTGCAAATTAATTTTATGTAATAAAATTTTATAGTTTTCCACTTTATAAAATAGAGATAAAAGTTTTCCACTTTATAAAATAGAGATAAAATATCTGAGGCTCAGAGAAGTCAGGTAACTTACCTGAAGACACAAAGTAGGTGATGAAGTTGGTACTAAAACAATTATTTTGGACATCAAGGACCATGTCTGTCTTTTCTAGACCAGCATTTCTAAGAGTGTATTAGGTCTACACCAGTGGTACATCAGAAATTTGAAGGTGTTACATAGATAAACACCTTATTTTAAGAGTTATAGTTTTTACAGTCAGTTTCTACTTATTGGAAGTAATACTGGTTTTCAATTTCCAATAGTCATATGAAATTTATTTTAACATAAATGTATTTAGGTAAATAAATTTAAATTGATGGAAGTGAAGACAGTATTGAGGTATGTAAAAAGTTGTGAAGATGGTACTTGAGTGCCCAAGTATGGAAAATATTCCTCTGGAAACACTAGACTATGGTTGACAAAGAGCTAAGGGAGGCTAGGCTATGCTGTTTTGACAAACAGCCCCTGAATCCAGGGGCTTAGGAAACATGATTGATTTATGGCTCACATTATATATCCAAATGACCAGAAGGACCAGTGGTGGAGGTGGGGGTGTCTCTGTTCCATGTAGTCATTCAGCAACCAGGCTGACAGAGGTGCCACTATTTTATGTCACTCAATCAAAGCCTGGAGGATTAAGCAGGGACCAGATCCATGAAAGGTTAAGGAGCTTGGACCTTATCCTGAGGGCAAGGATTAGTGCTTTTAATGTCTTTTGTTCTATTCGTTGCTAGCACAGGCAGTGTCATGACCCAAAAAGACAATGCAATATGTTGCCTGGGGACCTATCACTAAGATTTTTTGCCATTGAAATCTAATATATGAAAATCCAGGCTTATGGTGCAAATACATATGGAGATTGTTCATATTGCAAAAGGGTTCTTTGCTTAAATAAAGGATTAATTGAAGGGTGCTTTTTAAGAGTAAATATCCCTTAGCATGGGATGTTTGAAATGAATATTTATTTAATTCTGTTTAAACTCAACTTAAAAAAAAACTTCCCTATGATGTGGTGTTTCATCTGTTTTACAATGAACGTAACAATGCTACTATTTAAAATGTGAATATTGATCCCATTAACGTTAACAGCAAATGGATTTTTTTCCCCCTGAGAATGCAATGAAAGCAAGTGTAATTTAGATTTTATGCCTTATAACACGTATAATTTTGAGGGACGGGAACATTTCTTTAGTGATTATTTGAGCTCCCAAACTCTTGGTTTATGTTTCTATACTAGTGCCTGGCAAATTTCATTAGCTGCTTACGGAGCAGAGCTGTGTCCTCCAGTAACTCCTAGAGAGCAGGGGGCTATTACTAGGTTGGTGCAAAAATAATTGTGGTTTTTGCCATTAAAAGTAATGGCAAAAACCTCAATAACTTTTTTACCAACCCAGTATCTTTGTCTTTCTGTAAACAGCATCTGACTCAGTTCGTAATAGGTGCTCAGTAAATATTTGCAGAGTGAGCAAAATAAACATTTTCTTGCATTTTTCAAGCCAAATTCCAATACAAAAGACTTTTCTAGTGAATTTTACCTCCGCCATTCATAACACCCTTTACCTCTTCAGTCTTTCTCTTTGGATTGCACCTTTGCTAAATGTAACAGTTAAATAATTACTCTAAGTAATCTAAGATAAACAAGAAATATGCTTCAAGAAAGCCAGTGTGTTCTTAAATTGTTGATTCCTGTGACTTAGTGAGAAAAAATGAGTGTGTCTGTGTAGTCAAGAAGTAATTTCTAGGCAACCTTAGCATAGTTGTCTAGTTTTGAAACATTAAGGACAATTTATCAGCCATTATACTTTAGTTAAGTGCTAATCAAGTTTATGTTTCTCCTCCAAGCTAAGTAAAAGAGAGGAACTCTGATTGCAGAGGAACACTAAAACCGTCTATTACATGGTCTTGAAATGCTTGTGACTTTAATTTCAATGACTAGCATATGTTTATTGTGTTTAAATGTCAGTTTCACAAAAGCCTTGCTTCTTAAGTGGGACAGTCAAGTAACTGGAAAATAATTGGCAGAAATTTGAGTTCTCACTCTATCTTCCCACTTTCCAAACGTTTTTTTTTCCTTTAGGTAAATTACTATTACATGTCTTTATGTCCTGAAGGGTACGTACTGATATAGAGTCCAAATTCTCTACCACTTGTGCCACTGAGAGTTCTGATTCCCAAACCATCCCATTCCCTCTACTCAAGCTTACACCTCATTCCTTACCCTTGAAATTTATGTGACAACCCAGAATTGTGGCCATATTTACATTTGCTTCTGAGACTGCAAAACTTACAGAGAAGTAGAAAGCAGATGCACTCGGGGCTCAGATTAGTACTTGAGCTCAGTAATAAAAGACTTGCCAGTAATTAGCCCACCTCTCAATAGCGGAGTGATTGTACCCAGGACTGAGAGAGGCCTACCGTTAGATTGCCCATCATAGCTAAAGGAAAAGCAGACCTGGGCTTTGAGGGAAGCATTTACCTGCCAGATGTTTTCTTTTGATACTTGTGAAAGATGACATTATTCAGAGGCATTTAAATAAGTGCATCTTTGTTTAGATGAAATACAATGCTAGGGTCACAATATATTTATGCTTCCTATGTGTTTTCAAGCATTCAAGTCTAAGGACCAAATTTTTTGAAGTTCTTTGTTAATCAAATATGCACTGTGTCAACCAGAAGGAATTTCTGGGGGGCAGGGGTGGTGGGGTAGAGACCAGCCATTGTCTAGCGAACAGTTGGAGTGAGTCTTCCTCCCCAGCTCATGTTATTGTAGTTCCATTTCAGAAAGCAACACTTAAAGCTATTTAGATGGAGGAGAGTGAATAGGGATGAAGAGACCAATTAACCAATTTTTCTTGGCCTTTCCTCACACATAGACACATTCTGTACAACACCCCAGTTTTGATGTATTATTTTAATTAATCCCAGTCTTTTGATTCCTGCAAAAGAAGGTTAGCAAATGTAACAATGCTCGGGAGTTTCTTTATCGTAAAAGACACATAATTTCAAGCATTTAATAAGGTAGATTTATTCTGGGTAGTTTAGCTTGCACATTCACTCAAACAGCCCTCCCCAAAGACAACATTAAAAATGTGATTAGTTAGCTGCCATCAATAACACAAAATAGGAAAATGCTCTCTGAAGGGACAGCTTTGTGGAGAGCACTGCACAGTGTGTAGTAAAAATATATGGCCTAATAAGTTTACATTTGCAGGCTCATTTGTTAAAACTCTTGAATTTCTAATTTGTGTCGGAAAGATAAATGGATGGAGCCACAGTAGAGTGTGAGATTAATACTGATGGATGGGGATTCAGTTTTTTGCTAGCCTCTTGAGTTCCACACAACCCAGTAGGCAGTTTATAGAAAAACCAAATGTAAATAAAAGGAAGGACATTATTTACTCTGGTTGAGACCAATTACCAGTTATTTTGTTCCGTTCAGCACCATAGTTAAGGACATTTCTATATAATCTAATTATTATACTTTAGTAATCAAAAGGCCTACAGTTTATAATCGGATGTTTCTAACATCGGCCCCCAGAAGCTCTATTATGTAAGGAGCAGTTAGGGATGGTCTTTCTCGTTGTATTTCACAAAATATTTCCTCAAATTGTCCCTAAAAAAAATTTCTGGACACAACATGGAAAGAAGACTTAGGTTCTTACGAAATACTTAAAAATAATGAGCTTTTTTATAGCCAAGGATTTAGGAAAACAAGATAAGATTTCTGTGGAAAATCAATAGCAAAAGGTAAATTTAATGCCTCTGTTTTGCATCTTCACCCCCCATCACCTCCACCACCAGGACATAACACCCAACGCCTTAAGCAGTCCCTTGGAGTGGAGTTGCCACCATGCCTCATGGATTTCCTGCCTCTGTGTCACGGATGGCCGTCATGTCAGAAACACAGCAGCAATGTCCAGTGGCAGAGAGGGAGGCAAATCAATACACACAACACTTGGTTTGGCAAAAGTCACTCTAAAATTATGAGATGACTTTCCAACACATTTGTAAATTCTAGCTCCTTTGACTGAAGCTAGACATATTTCTCATTGTGAAAAATGCTGTACGTTTTGTGCAAATATATTATGAAGTCTACTTGGAGAAGTAGAGGAAAGAGTAGGTTAAATTATCTCTCCTCCTCTTCCCTTCAATCCTCTCTCATTTCCTTTTCTTTTTCTCCCTCCTCCTTCCCTTGCTCTCTTCCTCTGTCTTTCCTTCCCTCCCTCCTTCTCTCTTTTTCTCTCTCTCTGTGTGTCGTCACACATCTGAAAGCAGTCTCCAGGAGGAAATCTCTAACCATCCTTGAATTCCTCACTGACTCCCCTTTCTTTTCTCGGACTACCCCAAGTGGTAGTTTGCCACAGAAGAAAGAGCTTTGGCCAAGGGCACAGAAAAACCTAGGAGGTGGCTCTGGTTCCATGGCTTCAAAAATGTGTGATAGGCAAGTCACTTACCTTCTCAGAGTTTCATTTTTTCATTTCTAGGATGGAGATAATATTATTTATTATAAGGGATATATGAAGATGAAATGAGATGAACATATAACAGTGCTTTAGAAAGTAGTCCAGTTCCCTATCTTTCATTAATCTGAAAACTACCCTAAAAATATTAACAATTGTGAGGGAGAATTTAAAAAAATTTATGTGGAGTAATTGTGTGGCCTTGTCAGTAGCTGTTGATGTTAACCATGGCACCTCCATCAATATAATGTCCTGAGTCATTGTTAACATGTGCTGGCTGACTCAGAGGGGTAGCTTAGGTCCCACTTCTCTACAGTATAAGAAGCTGAGGCTGTAACTGTGCACTGGCCTCAGACCCATGGCCTCCAGGCCTGGACTGGCTCTCTCCTGAGCCCCAGTAGCAGTTTTTAGCCACAGGTTCTCTGGAGAGATTTCTGGATAATCTACAGCTGTTGATCTGGCACTGTACAGCAAGGATCTTCAAAGAACTGTCTTTAACCAGCAGTGTAACTGAGGTTAATTTTAGTGCTGATTGGTTTTGTGTGCTCTGGTTAGATCAGTCCTAGGAAGGTGGCCTTGCTTGGAGATTTGTTGTGTCTCTAATCTGCTTAGAAATTAGCAGGAGGTGCTCATAAGTCAGGCAGTCAGTGAACATTTGTTGAACATTTATTATGTTTCTTAAAAGAATCTCTTCTCATAGGAATGCAAGAAAATGATCTTCACCTGTGTTTAAGATGTGACCCAGAGTCAAGTGTTTGTGGCACAAGTGGAGTGATAAGGAATGAAGGTGTTGCCATTCCTTATCACTGGGTAACCACATGTCAGAGTAGTGAAAGGGCAAACAATTCGAAGTATATTGACTTCTTAAAATTGGGAGATGTATGTCCTAAAAACCAAAGCAATATGTAGAATAAAGATGAGAGGCTTTTGAACGTTTTATCTGGTGAGTATTATTTGTAGAAAACTCAAAGCTGCAAATTACTTTAGGAAATTCTAGGAATAGATTTAGCATGCACTTAAGGCCCCTTTGCTTAGGGATAAGAAGAATTAGAAAGGGTATAAAATACATAGAACAGATGTATTCTCTCTTTTTATGGGCTTTTGATCTAAGACCAATAGAGGAATTTGTGTTGGTTGGTGAATCCTCCTATAAACTCTGAAATGGAGATAAGAAACTTCTCAGAGTCTTCTTAGGTAGGTGAATATGTGATAGAACATGAAGAAGCAGATTCATTTTGAAACTTCCAGGACTATATTCTCTTACTTCAAAATTCTGAATGGTTCCCTGCTACCTACAAGATAAAAACCCAAGCTTCTTAGCCCAGCATATGAGGCCCTTTGCAATTTATCCTAAACTTTGTACCTTTCCATTCCCTACTTACCTATTTCAGCCTCAGTGACATGAAACCCAATTATAGTTTCTTGAAAACACTATCCTTCCAGGTTCCAGGCAATGCCTTGCTCTTCAGATGCTGTTCCCAGGACTGGAATGTTGCCCTTGGACTTGGCTGATTGCTGTCCTCCACCCCACCAAAATTCAAGGCCTCGCTCCAATGCTGCCTCAGATGGGGCCAGAGTGAGCATCTCCCTTCACTTGGCTCGTCCTTGTGCTGACTTCTCTGCTAGTCCTCATTCAATACCTGGCAATCGTCTTTGTGGCTGTTGTTGCCTCCTATAAACTATGAACCCTTCAAAGAAAGAAATGCAGCTATTGTCCCTACACACAGTGTGAGGACAAAGGCACAAGGAGTCTGAAGGAAGGAGAGCCATCTTTCCCAATTAATGTCCCAGTGTTTTGTGGCTGGGAGTAGGATCAGGTGGATTGAGGAGGGTGGCTGCTGGGAGAAGCCACTCACCTGTATGTCATGGCTAAACATACACAGTGTGTACAGCCGAGTGAGGTTGGGGAGGAGTATGGTGTTGACACAGCTAGAAAGCAAAGGCAATGTAAGTGCTTGGGATGAGTGATCGGCATGGGGTCTGGGCTAACATTTCCCATCATTAGTTCAGAGGGTTTCTTCTGTATTTTCAAGGGTCTTTAAGACTCATTAATAAGCTGTTTGTGGCTTTTTGCTCTTTAATGTGATAAAAAAGAAGACAGTGCCTCAGGTGACAGCTCTCAGTCTGTTATAGGTCAGAAGGAAGTGTGTAATGTTAATATGAATAAAGCACACTATAAATGAATGTCCTTTATTTGGAAGCCACAAATTTTCAAATCCAAAATTCCATTTGGTGAAATATTCAGGGGATCCAGTTCCTATGTCAATAATCAATAACCCAAATCCTCAGAATCAAACAACCTGTCGGTCCCTTGTTTAATCAGAATTGTTGGAAGGATTAAATCTGTAATGAGTCCTTGCACATTTGCTTTCAATCTTCTCCATGTTGATGACATCCTTGCATATGTATATCCACATTTGCCTCTCAGTGGGAGTGCATATCTGACATTTCAAAGACTACAAAATGTGATCTGGAAAATAAACACTGCTGTAGTAATTTTGATGGTTGATCATCTGTTTAATATAATGTCACCTAACTTCGAGACTGTAAATTAGGCTGACTTGGTTTGTTATCAATTTTCAGTACTATTTAGCACCCTGAACAAAAAACCAAACCAAAACAACCCCCTCACCTGTAGCTTTTTTATTCAATTTTCCCAAATTTCATGTTCTCCAATAAGCTTTCTTGAGAAATTGGGAGGGGTGGTCATTTGACTTCACATAATAGAGATATGTTATTTAGGCTTTTCACTGATTGCCCCTTTTTCAGCCCTGTTTTTCACCTCCACTTGATAAGTATTTCATACCTCCAATTACGGAGTCTTTCTGGGGCTCTGTGACTGAAGACATCTTGCTTCTTATTATTAGAAGATATGCAGGTTTTAACTCCTATATGTCAGATTAAACACGTGGAAAAACTTTTACATTTCAAAATTTGATGTGATCTGGTATGCTCTTTTCTTCTCTCCTATTATCTTTGTCCCTGCGTATTTCTGATTTTTTTTATTCTTTACTGTTGCTTTAGTGTGATTTTTGGAGAGAGTGAAGATAAATGCATATGTTTGAGCTGACACGTTTAAAGAGAGGTCCAAACACTTAACTTAGTAATTTTACTTGTACTCTGTAAGATACTTTATCGTTATCTCTCATTATCACAGCAATCTTCAAAAGGAGATATTAACATCTTTACTTTGTAAATAAGGGACCTGAATTTCAGAAAAAAACAAGTAATGGATCCAATAGCATCATTTGACAGGCAAGTCACTGAGATTGAGTTTGAACCCTGTCCATCTGACTCCCAAGCCTCATCATTTTCTGTGGTGCCATAGTGCCTCTTCATGTGAAAGACATTTTATTAAGTCATCATGTTAGCACATCCAAGGGCTCAATAGCACCCTAGAATTTTAACTGCTTATAGGAAGCAGAGCTAAAGTTCTGTCCCTAGACAGGCAGCCTTGTGATGGACTTGAGCATAAGAAGGCCATCCTCCTTCTTGTTCTGGCACTCAGTTTGCTTCCCTATGCCTCTCACATCTTCTTGTTGTAAATGTCTCCTTGGTGAATCGTGAATTCACAATCTTTGTTTCATTCCCAGTCTCGATAACTTCTCTTCTTAAATATGGCTGTAGTTCCTGCCTCCCACCCTTCCAGACGGCTATTTTACACTCACTCTGATCTCCTCTAATTTTTACACTCTCTTTTCCGTACTCATGCTCAACTAAAGACCTTGTTTCTTCTGTCACTGAGAAAATGGAAGCGATCAGAAAGGAACTTCCACATTCCCCTTCTACTCAACCCACCCATGTGTATCCATACCAAGCACCCTGTGCTTCCTCTTGTTGCAGTGGATAAACTATCCCTTCTCCTAACTCAGGCCAACTCCACCTCAGGGCACTGGATCCTAGACCTTCATACCTACCTGAAGACTCTTGCATCATCACTTTTTCCCTCTGTTGCAGTAGAATTTATGTAACTATACATCATGGCATAATAGTCTCCATTTTATTATTTATTTATTTACTTATTTATTTGATATGGAGTCTCACTCTGTCACCCAGGCTGGAGTGTAGTGGCCCGATCTCGGCTCACTGCAATCTCTGTCTCCCCGATTCAAGAAATTCTCCTGTCTCAGCCTCCTGAGTAGCTGGGACTACAGGCACCACCACCCCGCCTGGCTAATTTTTGTATTTTTAGTAGAGATGGGGTTTTACCATATTGGTCAGGCTGGTCTTGAACTCCTACCCTTAGGTGATCCACCAGCCTCAGCCTCCCAAAGTGCTGGGATTACAGGCTTGAGCCAGCGTGCCCAGCCAATAATCTCCATTTTCTTAAAAAAAAAATTCCTGCCTTGAATCCTGATCCCCCATATAGCTACACTTCCCTGTCTCTCTTCCCTTTTATGGAGAAGTTTCTTCAGTTGTCTATATTTGCTTTCTTCACTTTTCATCCCACGTTATTTCTTAAAACTTTTCAAATCTGTCTTTTGCATTTAGCACTCTGTTGTGACTACTTTCATCAAGAACACTGAGGACTGTCCCGCTGCCAAGTCCACTGGACAATTCTCAGTGCTCATTTACTCAGTCTACCAGCAGAATTTGGACCTGTTGGTTTCTCCCTTCTTCTGGAAACACTATCTGGCATTTGGCTGCACCCTGTTGACCCTGTTGGTTTTTTTTCCTCTTTGGTAGACCACTCATTCTCTACTCCTTTTCCAGATCATCCTCCTCTTCTTGATCTCTACCTATTAGAATGTTTCAGAGCTCAGTCACTGGACCTTTTCACCTTTCTGTGAACATTGATTTCCTAGATGATACATACACTCCTGATGCTTTGATATCATCTATTTGCTGATAATGCCAACATTTGTGTCTTTAGCTTGAATTTTCTTTTGAGTCTCAGACTGGCATGTTCAACTACGTCCTCTGCATCTTTACTCAGTTGTATAACAGGCGTCTGAAATTTAAGAGGCCCAAAAGAACTCTGAATATTCCCCTGTATACCTCCTCCTTTATTTATCATTATTATTATTTTTAATTTCAATAGTTTTGGGGGAACAGATGGTTTTTGGTTACATGGATAAATTCTTTAGTGGTAATTTCTGAGATTTTGGTGTACCTGTCACCTGAGCAGTATACACTGCACCCAATGTGTAGTCTTTTATTCCCCACCCACCATCCCCTCCAGTTCCCAAAATTTATTATATCATTCTTATGCCTTTGGATCCCCATAGCTTAGCTCCCAGTTATAAGAAAGAACATACAATATTTGGTTTTTTATTTCTGAGTTACTTCACTTAGAATAATGGTCTCCAACTCCAGCTTGCTGTGAATGCCATTATTTCATTCCTTTTTGTGGCTCAGTAGTATTCCATGAACACCTACTCTTTTCTTAATGTCACTTACTTTAAATGGTTTCTTCTTCATTCAGTATTTTTTCAGTCTCCAAACCTTTAAATCATCCTTGACACCTCTCTGTCTCTCTCACTCCACATCCAATCCATTAGCAAATCCTGTTGCTTCTACCTTCAGAATAGATTCCACATATAACCCCTTCTATGGCTTTCATCAATAATACTCTACTTCAAGCTGTCCTTATTTCCTGTCTTGTCTAAGACAATACCATTCTAGCTTGTCCTCCACAGTTGCTTACTGCAGTTTATTCTCTACATAGCAGCAGAATGATATTTTAAGTGTAAATCAGATTACGCTGCCCTCTGCTTAAGAGCGTCACATTGTTCTGCTGTCTTTACTTCACAGCACTCACCACTACTGGACATTATATAACTACTAATTTGTAAATTTACATTCTTTACTGACAGAATGTAAGCTCCATGAGAGCAGGGACTTTGTTGGTCTTGCTCACCTCTGTATCCCCAGTGCCTAGGAGAGGACCTGGTACTTAAGAGGCATTAGTAACTATTGAATGAAAGAGTGAATCATTGATATTAGAAGAAACACCTTCCTGGGATCATGTAATTGTTTCTTCAAATCCCACTGCTTACTTTGTCCCCTTTTGTCATCCTAAATAGCCACTGTCCCAAAGATCTGCTAGATATATAAAAATTTAATGTCATGCAATTTGTTCTATTGCTCTATTCAATTTATTTCAGTATGGCTTAGAATGCTAGATCGTAAAATAAAGTACATAACAAATAGACAATTAAATGACTTAAAATATGGGTAATATTCACTTTTCTGTGAAACAGTCTTTGTGTAGGAACAAAACTCTATGATAACAGTTTTAGAGAGGAAATAAGTTTGAGTTAATTATTTTATCTTACAGAAAATTTTTAGGCCAGTGTCTCACGCCTGTAATCCCAGCATTTTAGGAGTCTGAGGCGGGTGGATCACCTGAGGTCAGGAGTTTGAGACCAGCCTGGCCAATATGGCGAAACCCCATCTCTAATAAAAATACAAAAATTAACTGGTCATGCTGGCACACACATGTAATCCCAGCTACTTAGGAGGCTGAGGCAGGAGAATCGCTTAAACCCAGGAGACAGAGGCTGCAGTGAGCCAAGATTGTGCCACTGCACTCCAGCCTGGGTAATAGAGCAAGACTCCATCTCAAAAAAATAAAAATAAAAAATAAAAAAAAAGTTCTCTTTGAATATGGACTGTGGTGAATATTTAGTTACCTGTTTTGTGCCTTGCACTGTGTGTGCTTGTGTGTGAGTGTATGTATGTGTGGGGATGTATGCATAAGTATGTTTTAAAAGCTAAGATAGCGACACAGTTAAAGACATAGTCTTTGCCATCAGGACCCACATATCCTGTGTTTAATTGCTAAATTTTCTAATAAAAATAATGTTTCATTACCTAATGTCCTTCATGTAAAACAGAGAACATGGCCATTGTTAGAACATAGTCAAAGACAAACACAAGATTATTTACCACTCTGTTGAGACAGGTACAAAGTTTGCTTGCTACTTTCATGTGATACTTTTTCCTTTTTCTTGTAAGTGTTTGTGCCATGGGTTGTTATACACATTTACAACAAAATGGCAAGTCTTTCATAGACAGGATTCTATTGGTTTAACCTAACAGCATATGGCAATTTACACATAAACTGCTCTATGTTTGGAATAATAAAAATGTCAGGACAAATAAGAAATGTTAAATATGCTGATATTTTTATACCACTTAAATTTATTGCCCCATTTAAAAATTAAAATTATTAAAAACTGTGATTGATACTGCACAAAGCAGTTGCCAGAGAGACTATGCAACATCACTGGAATTGTGTGTTCACTTTCTGGGTGAGTGCTGTTTTATTTGGTAAATAATTTGACTGCTGCAATGTACTTTTGTCTTGTAACCCCATAGGAAGCCTACCTAGAAAGTGTAAGAATGTTCTGGATGTATTGACTTTTGTGTAAACAAGTTTTCTTTGTAGCCTTCCTCATAGGAATGGAATAAAATATTGGCTGACTTCTTCATTCTATTTTGCTTCCCTCCGTGGAGTTTACTGTGATTTGGTGCTTCTGAAGTCCCGAAAGATGGCTGTTTTTCAGATTGCTTTCCCAAGTTATACAGTAAGAGTACGAGGCCTTAGTGCAAACTGAAGAGACTTACACTGGCCTCTTCAAATGGAATAAAATAGGCTCAGCAAAGAAGACGATGCAGAAAGGAGACTTGTCTGAACAAAGAATGTGCCAGACAGATAGTAGATTTTGTATGATGTACTCAAGGCTCGTGTTTTTATTCCTTCTAAATTTTGAAAGAGGTGAAAGATATGTGTGAACACCTAGAAGTATATATAAAAACAAATGTGTGCATAAAATTTTGTATCTAAACCATCTGAAATAACTCAGTCCTGTCAGCTGGATTCCCTTGAAAAAAGAATTGGTGGAGAGAAATTCTTTAAAGTAGTTATAGTCTCTTTTGGGATCAGAGAATGAATTTTGACTTGTGTTTAGAGACTACATTAATATGAGCAGTACAAAGATCTAGATAACATATCCCAGCCATAAAAAAAGATAAAATCAGAAAAATAGAAATTTTTGCATTAACTCAAAAGTTGGGCAGGGGTCAATAGGGAGTCGTCGAGCTGCGCTTTTCAAGCACAGAGGTGTCTATTGCTCTTTCTTGATGAAATGCTGGAATGGAGGTAAATCGTGTGCATTTCATGCCTTTGGAGCAGACAGGTGTCTAGTCCTACTGGCACTAATTATAAATAATGTACTCCCAGAGTGGCATGGTACTAAGTCTTGGCAATTACTCACACTGTGCTGTCTCTCACAGCCCAACTATGGATATTTCAGACTCTGCCCTTCATTGCTGGGAGAATCTTCAGGAGGACTTCAAGCAATTCCTTCCTGCAGCATTACTCTTCTTCACAGCACTTTTTCCAAAATAAGGCAAAAGAAGTAGCAAGGGGGACAGGGCAACCCAAACCCAAAGTCCTTCCAGGTTATAATTCAAGCGTTTTCTAAAACCTTCTTCCGTGAAGTATTCAAGGCTAATATGAACATCCCTTGCCTCCATAGGGCCTAGTCTCACACAGCGCAGTGTATGTAGTCAGAGGGAAAACAGCTAGTCTTCATCTCCATATTAATTTTGAAGTTATTATTGCATTGTTGCTATCATTATTATTATTATTCTCATTTGAAAGAGGAGAAAACTGAGGCTAAGAGATGTTAAGTAATTTGTTCCTGTCACATACTACAGGGTGGAACCAGCAATTAACTGGTTCCCAAACAGAAGCATCAATGGCAACATTAGGCTTAATAAATATTTGTGAAGTGAATTGATAAATAGATAAGATAATTTCAAGGCAAGTCCCACTGTTGTAGCATTTAAGAAATATTTTGCTTCTGTCTAGTATTAGAATCATCTTTAGAAAGCATAGCAATCATTTATACCGTCTGCCACCCCAACATATTGCCAATAATAAATAACACTCCTTCATGCTAAAACAGCACTTTAAACTTAGAGAAAGACTTTAAAATACAGGTTTACCTACATTATGCATTTAATTCTTAAAAGAATCCTGTGAGGTAAACAGACCTTATTGTCCCTATTTTATAAAGCTATGGAGCTTCATGAGTTGCTAACATCTGTCCACTGCCAGTATTTTGAGTTGTAAGAAGTCAGAATCTTCTCATTTAAACTCTTCCTCCTCTCTTCTCTTTTTTCTCTTTCTCTCTGCTGCTACAGGCAACTGGTTACTTACTTCCACGTTAGGGACATTTGGGATACAGCTGAAAGGCTGTATGAAATGAATTTCATGGCTTTCCTTTCAAAAAAAAAAAAAAGCATTTATCCATTGGTGCTTCCCCCTTTTTCTCTATTATGCCTGCATGTGTGGCATCCCCAGCCATGGCTTAACACAGAAGCGGCAGGGCAGGAAGTGAGAAACACATGTGGGCTGAGGCAAGGTGCTGTCAGGTTGCACAATGTCAAGCTGGATGGAGCCCACATAGAAATGGTCACTGCAGCAGCAGCCAAAATAAAAGATAGGTAGAGCAAGAGATTCTGAAGAAGTATACACAATAGGTTCAGTATATACAAAAGTATAAGTAAGCAAACGAAAGTAAACAAATAACATAAACCCCAAAACGTCAAGAAGCACTACGAATGGGGCAAATACAAATAAAAAAGACTGCAAAAACAAGTCCAACCATATCAATCATAGAGTAAAGAAAAATAGATTAAACATACTAGTTAAAGACAGGAGTGATCAGATTAGTTTAAAAACATTCTAGCTAACATCTGAAGTATAAAGGCATAGAATCATTTAAAGGATGGAAAAACATATACCAATCAAATGTTAACCAACACAAAGGTTGTAGAGATGTATCATTATCAGACAGGTTAGGCTTTAAGACAGAAAGTGTTATTATTATATTTTCCCTCTTTTTCTTGTAAGTGTTTGTGCCATGGGTTGTTACATTTACAACAAAATGGCAAATCCTTCATAGACAGGATTCTATTGGTTTAACCTAACAGCATATGGCAATTTACATATAAACTGCTTTATGACTGGAATAACAAAAATGTCAGGACAAATAGGAATGTAGAAAGTCACTAAATAATAATAAAATACTGAAATCACCGGGAAGATACAGCAACTCTAAGCTTGTATATCTCTAATGAAATATTTTAAGTATATGAAGCAGACAAAAGTGTAGAACCACAGGAAGATAAGACCACCATAAGTAGGGAAAAACTCATTTCATCTGTCTCAATTATCGTAATATCTAAGAGGAAAGACTAATGAAGATATAAATATTTGAACAACACAATAAACAAGTTTGATCAAACAGAGATCTGCACCTAGCTCTTAAGGAATAACATTCTTAAGCACACGGGGGATGTTTACAAAAAATGATCATAAACTAGATTGAAAAGCAGGTCTCAACAGATCTCAAAGAATTGGTATTATATACACTGATCAATCACTTACATTTCCTATATCTTCAAAAGTTCTGGGGCCTTCTGGTAAACCTCTGAGCAACAGCTACTGTGTGTGTTAACTCCATATGGAGAGACTTCAGTAGTGCCTGAATGAATTTACAATCTTAGGTTAGTGGTGTATGGGGAAGGAACAAATAGGGTTTGTTGCAAGCTGAATTATGAGCTGACAAACTACTTCCAATAATGCCTAGATGTAAATATGTATACTTCTGTTGCAGAAAATGCAAAGAAGGAATTGGAATTGAAGCAACTAGGCAAGGGCTGAAAAGAATTCAGTTAATCAGCAGCTGTAGGAGCCCAGCTTCTAGTTAAGGGTAGTTACTGGAAATCTAGCCGAACCCAGGTGAAGAGATGTTTAGTTTATTAGAACAGAATGAAAAATTTTTAGATGTTGAACTATGTCAGAAGAGGTCAGATTATATGAGTTAATGTGAAACTAACCAACTCTGCAATGGCTGTTTCATGCTGTGTCTACAACTTAAGGCCATTTCTTCCAGGTAGTAGATGCAATATGTACAGCCACATACAATTTTAATTTTCTGGATAATATCCTCAGTTTGGTTCTTTTCAGTGCTTTTTCTTATTGCCCAATCTGTATAGTTGATGCAGCCCTTTAGTTTCTACTTCTTTATTTTTCAGTATTTAACCTAGGTGATATGACATTAGATTGACACATGTACACATCACAAATCTCCTTTGATTATTCTTCCTTTAGGGAGGGCTGATAATTCTGGAGATAGGAAATATTAAGTGCTGGTTGGACACTAAACTTTACTACTGACATTACCTATTAAGTATCTCTAAAAGAAATAATAAAATGGCAGCTTTTTAGAGGCCACTTGTGACTCATAAAATATGGGTTAAAACATCCCATTTTATTATAACTTTAGTTCTGTAATTATTACTATAAGTGATAGAACAGTTCAGGACACTCAAGAAATCAGCTCTCTCAACTCCTACAAAGAGCTACAGGCACTCTGGAAATAATTCAGATCCTATATTTGTAGACTATCTCTAAAAGACTAAAAAATAGCCTGATTAAATAAAAAAATAGAGCTAAAAAGTAGAAAAAAATAAAAGATAAACTCTGAATAAAGTAAAGCAATAAAAATTATGTTGATAACTTAGATCTGCAGAATCCCTGAGCCCAAACAAACCTGCTCTTAACCCTGCTTCAACCCTTAGGGAGAACCCCAGGAGATCTGCTCAATGACTCCATACCTTTATTTGCTCATTCAGAAAATGGGGCATAATCATTGTATATAATGAATTTTGTGTTGTGGGGACTAAGTGAGCTGATGTATGTAAATACATTAGCACCGGTTCTGACAAAGAGCAAGTGTTCTATAAATGTTAGTTAATATTAATTATTATTATTGTTTTATCACGCTTAATAATCATCATTTTCTTACACACAATCCATTAGATTTTCTTGTGGGATCGTGTATTAGTCCCTTCTTGCACTGCTATGAATGAATTACCCACTGAGACTGGGTAATTTATAAAGAAACGAGGTTTAATTGGCTCCTGGTTCTGTAGGCTATACAAGGAAGCACAGCAGCATCCGCTTCTGGGGAGGCCTCAGGGAGCTTTTACTCATAGTGGAAGGCAAAGTGGAAGCAGGCATGTTACATGGCAGGAACAGGACTAAGAAAGCAGGGAGTTTGGAGGGAGGTGCCACACCACACGCTTTTTAAATAACTAGATTTCACAAGAACTCACTTTTGTGATGATAGCACCAAGGTGGGATGGTGTTAAACCATGACAAACCGCCCCCATGATCCAATTACCTCTCACAAAGGCACCACCTCCAGCATTGGGGATTACATTTTAAAATGAGATTTGGGTGGGGACACAGATCCAAACCGTATCAGATAGCTGATGCCTTCTATTTTTTTCCCACCCTAATATGGGTTTGAACTAGTAATGACAATTGACTTGTCATGGTAAAAGCCTGCTCTCACTGACTCTAACCAGGAGTGAATGGGAAGAGAGTACATCTGACTTGTTAGTTTTCACAAATACCTTGTGAATCCTCGCTATCTTTAAAGCATTGCTCTTCTAGTTGTAAGAATAAATCATGGTCCCTGATTTCAAGAATTTATGGTGCAATATAGTGCACAGACACAGATACAGTCATACAATAGGGAGAACTAAAAAAAGGTTGCATGGGGAGGGAAAGGGTGCCTGGATTAAGATTCAGATTTAAATTAAACCAATATTTAACCAATGAGCTACTGGATTTCAGGCACTTCTCTCAGCATTCACTGCTGTTTCATACTGAACCAATCACCCACAGCTCTAAATTGGAACATTAGTTATTGTGATATGCAGTAATCACTTTGAAATCCCATTGCAATAGTGTTATTTAAGATAGTTCTGTCTGTGTTTGAAGTCAGGAGAAAAGACAAAAGGCTCAAAAAGAGTTTTCATGGCTGATTATTAGAGTTTCCTTTCTCGGTTCCTCCCAGGTCTTGTATGATAATCCATTCAATCGTTTACTTCATCAACTAATTCAACAAACATTTATTAAGCTCCTATTATGTGCCCAAAATTGTGCTAGGCACTGGGGATTCAAAGATGAGTAAGCTACATTCCCCAGGCTCAAGAGTCTCACAGTTTAGTGAACAAAAACAACAGTATAGCAACAGGTATATTACTATGTTATGTAATAAATTCTATTATTGAGGAATGGAGTAGTGATGTACGTATGATTTTCCTAGAATTAGTCCTAGTGTGTCTCTGGGAAAAATGAAAAGTTTGTGAAGCATATCTTTGGGCCCATCAGTGCCCTGGACAGTTCTGTAATCTTTGATTTTCTACTCTACTCACTCTAGGCCCTTACCCTGAATACCATGCCCAAGGCACATGTTCTCTTTTTATTTGTCATCTAATCCATCCCTAAAGAAATATTGATTATTCCTGGCTTCATATTTCTTCCCTTTCAGGATTAGAGTTTCAAGAGGGACATCTTGAAGAACCAACCATTTAAGTACAAAATGAGGGATGAATGTGAGAAAGGCCTTTAGTTAGGGTGCCTGCCGAGGGGCTCCACCAATCTCATCATACAGGTTCCTGTGCTATATGGTGAAAAAAAACATGGATTTTTTAAAGACAGGATCTCAGTCTGTTGCCCAGGTTGGAGTGCAGTGGCATGACTACTGTGAGACCAGAGTGAGACTCTTTAAGTAAGCCTGGCTAATTTTTTTTTTTTTTGAGATGGAGTCTTGCTCTGTCACCCAGGCTGGAGTGTAGTGGTGCGATCTCAGCTCACTGCAACCTCTACCTCCTGGGTTCAAGCGATTCTCCTGCCTCAGCTTCCCGAGTAGCTGGGACTACAGGTGCGTGCCACCACCCCCGGCTAATCTTTTATTTTTAGTAGAGACGGGGTTTCACCATGTTGGCCAGGCTGGTCTCGAACTCCTGACCTCAGGTGATTCACCCGCCTCAGGCTCCCAAAATGCTGGGGTTACAGGTGTGAGCCACTGTGCCCGGCCGCCTGGCTAATTTTTAAAAAAATTTTGTAAAGACAGAGTCTCTCTATGTTGCCCAGGCTGGTCTCAAACTCCCGAGCTCAAGTCATCTGCTGGCCTCAGCCTCCCAAAGTGCTGGGATTATAGGCATGAGCTACCGCACCTTCCGAAAAACAATGGATCTTGCAGATTGAGAGATCTGAATTTTAATTCTTGCTCCCACATACACTGGTGGTCTTGGGCAAGTTATTTAGCTTCCTTGAGGCTGTTTCCTTATTATTAAAAGAGAATAAGTGACATTTCAG
Organism: Homo sapiens; assembly: GCF_000001405.40. Taxonomy (NCBI): domain Eukaryota; kingdom Metazoa; phylum Chordata; class Mammalia; order Primates; family Hominidae; genus Homo; species Homo sapiens. Next base: position 79,253,844 of record NC_000013.11, on the reverse strand, counting down.
GTACCTATTGTACAAATCAAATTGAGGTCAGTATATCTAAATTACCTGATGCAATGTATGTTGCAGATATTAATAACAAATTACAATGGGGAGAGACCAACAATAGATAAGACTAATAACTAAAATGTAGAATGTTAGGGTAATGAAGGCTATGGAGGGGAAAAAATGGCAGGGAAAAGAGGAAGGCAATTTTAGGGGTGATTTGCGACTTTAAATGGGATGGCCAGGGAAGACCTTACTCAAAAGGGGCTGTTTGAATAAAGCTGTGAAAGAAGTGAGGGACTGACTCACTTAGAAATCTGTAGGAAGAGAGTTCCAGGCAGAGGGAAAGAACAGTGAAAAGCCTGGTGTATCTTAAAATATACAAGGACACAAGTGTGGCTGGAGGGAAGGAGCTGTGTGTGGAGGAAAGAAGGTGGGACCCAGCGGGAGATGAAGACAGAGGAGAGATGTAGAGATGCAGGGTGTGGGATGGTGCAGATTGCTCACATCTTTATTGGGTCATTACAAAAGTTTGGCTTTTACTCTTAGAGAGACAGGAAGCTTTTGGAGATTCTTGTGGAAAAGAGCAATGTGATCAGACTTACATTTTTAAATAATCTCTCAAGAGGGATAAATAATGTGATGAAACAAGCATCATCAAGTGTTAACGATAGAATCTAGGTTGTGGATATACGTATTCACTGTAAAAAATTTTTCAGTCTCGGCACAGTGGCTCATGTCTATAATCCCAGAACTTTGGGAGGCCAAGGCAGGCGGATCATGAGGTCAGGAGTTCAAGACAAGCCTGGCCAACATGGTGAAACCCCATCTCTACTAAAATTACACAAATTAGCTGGGCACGGTGGTGGGTGCCTGTAATCCCAGCTACCTGGGAGGCTGAGGCAGGAGAATTGCTTGAACCTGGGAGGCTGAGGTTGCAGTGAGCCGAGATCATGCCACTGCACTCCAGCACAGGCAACACAGCGAGACTCCGTCTCAAAAAAAAAAAAAAAAAAAAATTAATTCAGCTTTACTGTAAGTCTGAAAACATTCATAATAAAATGTTGGGGGGGAAAAGATTCATTCTGATTGATGGTGTGAGAAGAGGCTGAAGGGGTCAAAGGTAGAGCAGGGAGAACGGATGTGGAGGCTAATAGGATAATCCAGGGGAAAGCTGGTGGCTTGGAGATAGCGGTGGTACTGGAGGTGGAGACAGGGTTTTGAGTCTGCTGTTGTTTGGAGGGACAGCCAGGAGGATTTCATAGCAGATTGGTTGCAGGGTATGAGAAAGAGAGGGGTCAAGCTTGACATCAAGTTCTTTGGCCTGGACAGATGTAGTTACCCGTCCTAGACAATGGCCAGGCTGCTGTATTCCATGCTTCGATTTTAGAAGGGCCCTTGCCCCACTGTAAAGCAGGTGAATGTGTCTCTGTGTCCTCCTTTCCCAAGGACTTTCCTTGTCCTCCCCAGACCCAGGCTGTCACCCTGTGTGGCTTCTCCTAGCCTGACCCCTTTATGATGCTCATTGCATGCTTCCATCCAAGCCTTGGTATTGCTATGGAGTAGAAATAGAGCTAAACTTGGAGTCAGAAGACCATGCCTCAGATACATTGCCGAACTTTTCAGAATCCCAGTTTTCTCTTTCATAAAACAAAGCTAAAAATGCCCATCAAGAGTATGGTGGAAGTGAGAAAACAAGTGATTGAACATTGAACTTGAAGAGAATCTTGTGCATTTACTCTTTCCTGCTCTGTTTTCTTCACATGTCATTCCCCACTGAAATTTGCCCATTTTGGATCTCATTACCCTGAAGGTCCTGGATTTGTTGGAAAGTTCCGTGTAATTCCTGGAGTTCTATGGTGACGTTGTCAAGTACAAAGCGCTGGCCTAGGAGCTACGACATGGGAGTTCCAAGCCTGCTCTTTCTCGCACGAGCTGAGTGAGTGACTTTCACAAGTTGCTTCAACCTTCTGCAACTCAGTTTTGTTGTCTTGATATTCTCTGAGGCGCCTCCTTTCCAGATAGTGCCTATTAGGTGCTTCCTTGCAGAAATGTCATTTAATTCTCACAGTGACTCTATAAAGTAAATACTTTCTGATTCTGGAGACAATTTTCCCACTTGTTTGATCTAAACCAGGGCTCCCCAACCCCCAGGCTGCAGACACGTACCGGTCTGTGACTTGTTAGGAACTGGGCTGCATAGGAGGAGGTGAGCTGCGAGCACACATTACTGCCTGAGCTCCCACTCTGTCAGATCCACTGCGGCATTAGATTCTCACAGAAGCACGTGCTTTCTTGTGAACTGCGCATGCGAGGGATCTAGGTTGCTTGTTCCTTATGAGAATCTAATGCTTGATGATCTGAGATGGAATAGTTTCATCCCCAAACCATCCCCCCGCCAATCCCCCATCATGGAAAAATTGTCTTCCATAAAACCAATCCCTGGTGCCAAAAAGGTTGGGGACTGCTGGTCTAAACCATTTTGGATTCTAAAGGTAACATTTTCAGTTCACTGTGTCTATGCTTGAGATGTATTTAATCCTACATTAACAGATATTTATTGAATGCTTAGCCTGGGAGAGGAGGGAGGTGGGCCTTGAGAGCCCCTCAAAGTCATGCTCCTCCAGCTGTTCCTCCTATGAAGAGTCACTCTTTGTAGCCAGAGTGTGAAGAGCTGGGAACGTGTTTATAGCCAGGACTAAGAGCTGGTCATGGACTCTGAAACAAGAGGAAACTAAAAGTAATGAGTTCTTTGATCCTTGAAGAGGTTCCCTTAAAGTTGGGATGAACCCTGGCTGAAAAGAATGTTTCTAAAAGAGATTCAGGGTTTCTCTTCCAAAGATTTGAAGACTTTTGTAAATTATTACAGTCATTTGAGATTGTTTAAAACTTCCTTGTTGGGACAGAGGGAAATGGATGATGAGCTCTCATGCCTCCAAAGGTGTTTTACAAGTTACAGTATCACTGTGATGCTGTTCTAAGAACGGCCACTTCTAAATTCTTCTTTCTAAGCTCAAATAGAAGAAAGTTCTCCCTTCACTTCTCTTGTCCACATGTGAAATGAATAATGCCTGTTTCCTGTCATTCTGTTATTAACTTCATTCTCAGTAAAGGGAAGCAGGCCCAGTGGCCACTGGAAAAGAAGAAAACCCAAGAAATACTTGAAAGCTTACGTTTCTACCCTATTAACAAGGCCAACTCTAGGGTGGGGGAAGTGGTTTTATTTTTATGGTAATTTAGCTAGCAACTATGTGAGGTTGGCTTGCGTTTTTATTGTTGGTTTTATTTTAGTCTGCACGACCAGTTGGATCATTTAAGAACCTCAAAAGTTGCCAAACGTTGCATTTTCATATCTACCAGCATAGATGGATTTAATAATTGAATGCTGAAACTCAATTGTAGAGATAATTTGTGAACTCTTAATTTGTTTATCAAAAATATAGGTAGAGTGCAATGACAGAATTTTTTTTGAGGGGGAGGGTGGGATCAAGCTTGAAGATGCAGTTACATTACTCTGCAGCTCTACCCTGAGCACAAGTACACGAATATGAGATCTGTTATATTAGTACTGTGTTAATAGTGTCATTGGCATTTTAAACACCAGAAATATCAAAGCAAAACTAAATTCCTGAAAGTAAAGAGTAATTGAGGCCAGGTGCAGTGGCTCACACCTGTAATCCCAGCACTTTGGGAGGCCGAGGCGGGCGGATCATGAGGTCAAGAGATCGAGACCATCCTTGCCAACATGGTGAAACCTGTCTTTACTAAAAATACAAAAAATTAGTTGGGCGTGGTGTCGGGCGCCTGTAATCCCAGCTACTCGAGAGGCTGAGGCTGGAGAATCACTTGAACCTGGGAGGCAGAGGTTGCAGTGAGCCGAGATCATGCCACTGCACTCCAGCCTGGCAACAGAGCGAGACTCCGTTTCAAAAAAAAAAGAATAATTGAAAAGTTAAAAATTAATATATTATCTAACCATTTTTTTTGCCACTGCTGTGTGACACTATTTTTATAGCTTTATTGAGGTATAATGAACATACCATGAACTGTATGTATTGAAAATGTACACTTCGATGAGTTTTGACTTATGTACACACCCATGAAACCATCACCACAATCAAGATATGTGAATGTATCTACATTTCTAAAAGTTTCCTTGTGAACCTTTGTAATCTATCTTTTACTCCCCTCCCTAACCTCCCTCTTCTTCCCAAGGCAACAACTGGTCTGCATGGCGTCACTATAGTTTAGTTTGCATTTTATCAGATTTTATATAAATGGAATAATATAATATGTGGGTTTTTTTTTCTATCTTCTTTCATTCAGCTCATTATTTTTGTTTGTTTTTTAGATAGTTCAGACAATAAGAAAGTACATTATTTTGAGTTAATTTATGTTGTTGCACATAGCAACATTCTTATTCTTTTTTAAATTTGAATCTTTTTTTATGGTGGAGTAGCAATGCATTATATGGATATAGGACAATTTATTTATTCATTCCTCAGTTGAGGGACATTTGAGTTGTTTTCAGTTTTGGCTATTACACATAGAGCTGCTAGGAACATTCCTTTACAAGTCTTTGCTTTCATTTGTCTTAGGTAAATGCCTAAGAATGAAATCTCTGAGTTGTATGGCATGTATATGTTTACCTTTAAAACTGTCAAAGTGTTTTTCAAATTTATTGTACAATTTTATATTTCCTCCATCAGTATATAAAAGTTCTAGTAGCACCACATCCTCCCCAGCACTTGGTGTGGAGAGTCTTTTTAATTTTAGCCATTCTAAAAAAAGTAACGTTTGGGGCTGGGCATGGTGGCTCATGCCTGTAATCCCAGCACTTTCGGAGGCCGAAGTGGCTGGATCACGAGGTCAAGAGATGGAGACCATCCTGGCCAACATGGTCAAACAATGTCTCTATGAAAAATACAAAAATTAGCTGGGCATGGTGGTGCACACCTGTAATCCCAGCTATTCAGGAGGCTAAGGTAGGAGAATCACTTGAACCTGGGAGGTGGAGGTTGCAGTGGGCCAAGATCACGCCACTGCAATTCAGCCTGGTGACAGAGTGAGACTCCAACTAAAAAAAAAAAAAAAAAAAGTAATGTTTGGAAATGTAGCGAGATCTCATTGTAGTTTTAATTTGTATTTCCCTAATGCCTAATAATATTGGGCAACTTTTGATGTACTTGCCATCTGTATATCTTCTTTGATCGAATATCTGTTCAAGTCTTTTTCTCATTTTAAACAGTGGGTTGTCTTCTAATTGAATTGTAAGAGTTCTTCGTACGTTCTAGATACAAGTTTTTTTTTCTTATATATGCTTTGCAAATATTTCTTCCCAGTCTGAGGCTTGCCCTTTATTTTCATCACAATGTCTTTAGAAGAACAAAATTTTAATTGATGAAGTCCAATTTATTATTTTGTCTTACAGTGTGTGCTTTTTTGTGTCATATTTAAGAAAACCTTGGGCTGGGTGTAGTGGCTCACCCCTGTAATCCCAGCACTTTGGGAGCCTGAGGTGAGTGGATGACAAGGTCAAGAGTTCAAGACCAGCCTGACCAACATGGTAAAACCCCGTCTCTAATAAAAATACAAAAGTTAGCCAGGCATGGTGGTGTGCGCCTGTAATCTCAGCAACTAGGTAGGCTGAGGCAGGAGAATCGCTTGAACCTGGGAGGCGGAGGTTGCAGTGAGCCGAGATCGTGCCATTGCACTCCAGCCTGGGCGACAGAGTGAGACTCCATCTGGAAAAAAAAAAAAAGGAAACCTTGCCAAGCCCAAGGTCACTAGATGTATTCTGTGTTCTTTTAGAATTTTTGTGGTTTTTAACCACTACATTTAGGTCTGTAGTCCATTTTTAATTAAATTTTGTACTACAAACTATTGCTTAGCAAAATTTTAAGGAGACCTAAATAAATGGAAAGCTATACCGTGTTCATGGATTGGAAGACTCAGTACTGTTAAGATGGCAATTTTCCCCAAATTGATTTATAAATTAAACACAAGCCCAATTAAAATCCCTGCAGCCTTTTTTGTAGAAATTGACAAGCTTATTTTAAAATTTATATGGTAGTAGAAAGTACCCAAAATAGACAAAAAAACTTTAAAAAGTACAAATGTGGATGACTTACAGTGTTAAGTCAGTGTAAATCTTACATTATCTGATATCAAGGCTTACTATAAAGCTATAGTGATCAAGAAAATGTGGAATTGGTGTATGGATGAATAGATTAATGGAACAGAATATAAAATCTAGAAATAAACACACATTTAGTCAACTGCTGTTTGACAAATGTGGCAAGGCAATTTAATGGGGAAAATATAATCTTTTCAACAAGTGGTGCTAGAACAATGAGATATTTATAGGCAATAAAATGAACCTTGATACTGTGAACATTTTAAGGAAACATTATCAAGGACCTAATAAAATATCATGATTTGAGTAGGATTTTCAAAGAACAAGTAAGTGATTAGAAATAAATTCTCCACTGAAAAATTAAAAAATTTGTATTATCATCAACCAACTGAGGAAAATTCATATAAATATCAATATTTATCAATGGTAATCATACAAATATTATATAAAAATTCATATAAATATCAATATTTGTCAATGGTAATCAATATTGACAGGTATGGTTCATCAGTGTCTGGTTTGCCTTCTATGCAAAAAAAATGCGATTCCATTTCAATATACAGAAAATAGGAACAGCCAAATAGAGTCATATATTCTATCATTCTGTTTACATAGGCAAAGCAATTTATAAACACATTTAAAAAAATGATGAATAAAGATCAACATTAGGTTGTTTTTAAACAGCTTGATAAATCAGTAAAACAAATAAAACCTCTGTTTTATTATATTTATCTATTTTGCATTCAGATGGAGTTTATAGTAGCAAACACAAAATTGGGACATGAATGTGAAAGATTTACTAGTTTAAAAGAAATTTATTTGTGCTCTGTCCCCTTAATACTACTTATATTTAAATCTCTATTCTCTAGCTGTTATCACTGTTTCATAACAAAATAATGCAAAACTTTTCATTCTTTCTCCCATTTAAACTAACTGCAGGTTTGTTAGGGGCCTTGCTGCTTTCCACGCCAGTAGATGGCATTCTTATTCTTGTTTTTATTTTAATAGTCTTAGGTTCATGATAAATGTAATGCTGTGTACTGTATACCGGACCCACATTTGGTTCTGGTTCCCACAGTCCAAGTTCAGGTTGACCAGTTTCGGATGCACATGGAAAGGAGAGGAACATACTCAAGAGAAGGATAAAAGCGCAATACTTGGCAAACTGAGATGTGTCCAAAAACTGTTGCTTATTTCTTTTTCACTTTGGTGTGTATTTCCAGTCGAGTGAGTGTGGAAGGTTTTGGCAGAGGGGAGGACTGAAACTTGATCATTCAGTGTCTCCGTCGTTTCTAATGGGTTAACTTTCCCACTTCTAGGGCGATGACTCAGGCTTTCAGGCTGTCTCTACTCCTTGTTCCCCTATGCGAGATGGCTGCTGAGCACAGGGGATCGGTGACCTGGTAGTAACAGTGTGGAGTCTGGGTGTGTGTGCTGGCCATTTTGGAGATGTTTCCTGTTCACCTGGACACAGTGGACCTGATGTCTTTCCTGCTGTGATCTATTCTCTTAGCAATGTCATGGGTTCCTCCCCTGGCTCTGTGGGTGCTGCAGTGTGCAGATCTCAGCCACAGACTCCATCCTGCTCTGGTCTGACCATCCACCCCAGAGCCTCTGCTTCAGGGTCATCCTCTCAACAGGACCATTTGTGGTTAACCATCTGGCTTGCTACTCTCAGCTGCCACATGACTCTCTCACTGAGAATACCTGTGAATATCTGGTTTCCTTCCACATCTTCCACGTGAAACTTGGGAATCTCAGGGCCACCAAATTTGGCTTCCTGCCTATGTGTACCCCTCTGCCATTCCTATTTTACTGTGATTACCAAGTTCTGAGCGGGAGCAAAATGCAAAGTGGTATCTCTTCCCAGGGTTCTAAATGGAAAAGAGGCTCAAAAGCCCCTGCCTCAACCTTCCATCTCTCTGGGATGGCTATATATTCACCAGGTCTTCAGGAACCAGACATGTCTCTCCACCTACTCTCTCCCTTCAAATTTTCGTCTCCTTCTCCCACACCCAGAAAGGGCAATTCTTCCCATCATGTCTGTTGAGAACTTCCCTTAAGTTCTTTTTCTGCCATACAGATGATCTTTGCCCTAGATCAGTGTTCTCAACGTTGTCGTACCCAAGGCTCCACTTTCATATGACAAATATTTTGAATACCTCTTTGACAGCAAGTGTCAAAACTATGCCCTAACTTTATTATAAGGGAGAAATAAAAGGGAAGGAATTTGTTCTAAAAAGATGTTTGCCCCATATGTAGAATCACTATGAATCCTACAGCCACAAATGCAGACTGATGTAAATGTCTCATTGCTGACTCGAATATCATGAGTGGACCGACTTTCCAAAACTGTGAACCCTTTTGACAAAAATCTGAACATAAAGTATGATATTCCCTTGATTTACTTTGCAGTTATCATCCTGGGAAGTCAATAATGCAATCTTTTTTTTGCTTGTTGACATAAATAATACTATTGTTTATATGTAAAACTAAGCTAGATAATTATAAACATACCTTCATCAATGTCATGACGTTTTGTGGGAACTGGAATAATTATTCCTTGTGTAGGACTATCTTGTATATTGCAAGACACACAGTGCCTCTGCCTCCTGTCAACTAAATGCCACTAGTGTCCCCAGTCATTGTGACAACTAACCCCAATCTAATTTCCAAAACCTCCCCTAAGGGGCAGTAGCATTCCCATTGAGAACGCTTGTTCTAGGCAGTACCTTCCCATAAAATAAGTTTATAATCTCTCCCAGGTCCACCCATCACATATTTGGCAACACTTTGCAAAATGAGCCTTTTGTTCATACAGCACTTTCAGATCATCCCAACATCTATGCTGTGGGACTTCTTGGTACAAGTTCCTCGGTTATTGATACATCTGGGGACTTCCAAATTTCTCAGACTTTTGTTTGAAAACCATAGTACCATACTGCCTTCTGTTCTTGTCTTTGCCCATATTTCTATTGAACTATTTTGTCATTGATTGAATTAACTGAATACCTCTCGATTAGGAAATATAAGGAAAATAAAGAACCAGAGAGATCAAGTGACTCACAGAGTCCCAGTGATGGAAACTCAGTAGACCAGGACCAGAGGCCCTATCTTCTATCTAGAGATTTCCTACTATGTCATGTTATTATTGCCTTATAAATTAATTCTTGGCCAGTTGTGGTGGCTCAATCCCAGCACTTTGGGAGGTGGAGGCAGGTGGATCGCTTGACCCCAGGAGTTCAAAATCAGCCTGGGCAATATAGCTAAACCCCGTCTCTACCAAAAAAATACAAACATTAGTTGGGCGTGGTTATGCACCCTGTAGTCCCAACTACTCAGGAGGCTGAGGCAGGAAGATCTCCTGAGCCTGGGAGGTGGGGGTTGTAATGATCTGAGATCACGCCACTGCACTCCAGCTTGACTGACAGAGCTAGACCCTATCTCAAAACAAATAAACAAACAAACAGAATACCAAAATTTTATTATTTGCCTTATTATTTGGAAATCAGTGTCCAAATATATATATTTTTGATTATTATTATTATTTTGAGATAGAGTCTCAGTCTGTCGCCCAGGCTGGAGTGCAGTGGCACAATCTCGGCTCACTGCAACCTCCGCCTCCTGGGTTCAAGCGAATTTCCTGCCTCAGCCTCCTGAGTAGCTGGGATTATAGGCATGTGCCACCACACCCAGCTAATTTTTATATTTTAGTAGTGATGGGGTTTCACCATGTTGGTCAGGCTGGTCTCGAACACCTGACCTTGCGATCCACCTTCCTTGGCCTCCCAAAGTGCTGGGATTACAGGCCTGAGCCACTGTGTAAATCAACACAGTAGGATCTGCTTGTGCCTGGGTGAAGGTACCCATTGAGTTTCTCAACCTGTAGACCTATAAAGTAGGGACCCCACTAATGCTACAGCCACCTCACAAGGCCCAGCCAAGGAAGTCTTTCAATTATACATATAGCTCCTTTTTGGACCCAAGGTACCTCATTGACTTTACTGAGTTTCCTATACTGTATTTAACCATTTTTATAGTCAGGGTTTGTTTACTGTATTGTCTGATTTGTTTGTTTTTTAATGTGAAAGTTTCCATTGCTTAGGTTTCCAGTTGCTGACTTGGAACAATCCATTTGCCTGGAACCAGATATTATAATAAAGTGAATCAAACATATTAAAAAAATGGAAACAGTTTAACCTTCTTCTCTTGATGTAGCAAGCCCTGTTTAAAAGGAAGGAAATTCGTTTTTCTGTACAAAATTAAAAAATAATTTCTTTGTCAAGGGAAAATTTTATGATCCAATTCCCCCAATTTGAGTACTTCTGATCTACCTAAATGTTACCCTTTGTAAATCAAGAAAAGTATGTTAGGTGTAATAGTTGAGTTGTGAATGATAAAATCTGCATGTGTATTAGGGAGGGAATGCATACGTAGAAATTGGCTTAACAAGGTGTGGAGCCTTGTGCACATTTATGTCTGAAATCCATATCAAGCCCTTAACAGGCAAGATTCTTTAATATAAATGAGAAATAGGCTTTATCTTGCCATAATGACCTGCAGCCTCTTAGACATGACTCTCTACAGACCGATCACTCCACAGAAAGGTTGGCCAGCTCACTGAAGCCATTATCTTTTATTTATGCAGATCAGATTGTGACAATCCTTGGAATTCTTTGTTTTATCTCTCTCTCTCTCTTTAATCCTCTTGATACGGTTTTTTCTTTCTGTTTCTATATGGGCAACTCCCCAAACAAGCATTTTCATGACTTCCCAAGTCATTGAATGAAAATATTAGAGCATAATTTGGTTAGCTTGTATTATTACACAAAGAAAAGAAAATTGTTTTAATTTTGGAGGCTACTAGATAAAGGGAGAAGGGAAAATTCCCTAATTTTTTAAGCCACACAGGGAGCTATGTACTGTGCCAACATAGTAACCAGCACCAAATCCCAATAGTTTACATTTTCATTATTTAATATGCCCTCTAGAGTTTTGGATGTGGCTCAGAAATTTTTTTAAAACAAATTTCTTACATATGACCTTAATTTCAATGAGTATGCTTTAAAAAGCTGTAGCTTTCTTCCTTTTACATTTCCCATTAGTCAATATCAGCTACATATTCATGGCTGAGAACCTAAATAGCATACTTTTTATAAAAAAAATATAGGGGTGACTTTTTTATGGGTGTGTTTCCAGTGATCTTTTGCTCTGGGGATGGGGGTGGTATTCAATAGAAGGAGTTGAAAGAGAGAGAGAAGAATATTACTTTTGATTATAGCAGTTTAGTCTCCATTGCATATTACCATTTTTTTCCTCCTGTAGTGCTGTTCTTTCTAGCTTTTATCTGAGCCAAGTAGCAAGGCAAGAAACCCACTGAGAGATCAGGAAAGAACGACGGTAGGAAGGATTTTCCCAGTTGATTTGGGGTAGTGCTGAATTCAGCTGACATCCTTAGGGTTCTTATTCCTGCATTTAATCCATAAGCATTTTATTGAATGCTAATTAAGTTTCAGTTACTTTGCTAGATGTTATAGCAGATATAAGAATGAAACAAGTACTATTCTTACCTTTTATTTATTCATTTGATAAATGTTTGCTATCCACTGGCAACACAATACCAAACCAGCAGCCACAGTGGTCTTCTCAGTCCAGGGTGGAAGACGACCTGAGTAAATGATGGGCAATGTGACAGAACAGGATATGTTGTGCTGGCTGTCATAAAAGTAGAAGTGTTGGGTGGTGTGGGAGCATTAAACATGGAACATTAACTTAGTGTGTATCTGCCAGGGTTAGCAAAGTTCTCCCTGAAGCAATAAAGTTTATGTTGAGACTGGAAACGTGACACCAAGTTAGCCCTTGGAGTGTAGGGAATGGAGTGTCCCAGGAAGATGGAACAACAGTTTGGATGAAGGTTGAGGTGAGTCATGCATTGGAGGAACTAAAAGAAAGTCCTAAGCCAGGTAGGACTCAATTCCTCTTCCTCATCCAGATGGTGAATCTCGAGGGCTGCTCTGCAGTGGCTGCTCGTGGCTGTCTTCAGTGACTGGAAAATATGAGCTGGTTAGGAGCAGCTCACCATCTGCAAATCACATCTCCCTACGAGTGGGGTAGCACTAACCCCCGTCCACCCCAACTCAGCAGAGATTAGGGGAGGGGAAAGAGAGTTCAAAAAGTAAATTGTTTGGGATGGAGGTAATGTAAAGAACAAGCAACCTATAAAATATTAATTGATGATAAGAGAAAATTTCTCTCCACAAGCAAAAGGAATCACTGAGCTCCTGAGAGTGACATGAATTGTATTGCAGGCTCCTTATCAGACGTTATTAGCAGCTTCCTAGGAACAAGTTTTTAGCTGTTAGTTTAAGGCAGAGGACTAAGAACATGGGATTTGGGGCAGGAAATTCCATGCAGGATTTGGAGAATGGAGAAGAGATGGGACTAAACTACTGAATAAGAGAGGGAGAAAGTGTAAGACTTGGGCAGCCAGAGGCTCCATGAGGATAAGGGGGCACAGGGGCTTCAATTACAGCACTCATCCATCTTGTCACTATCCAAACCACTCAGGGTGACAATAGATACCTCTATCTGCATCTGAAGGTAGAGGCATCATAATTTATTAGAGATGAAGTTTGACGTTGTTCCCTCTTCTACGGTTATCAGGAAAGCCATTTTCCACCACAACAAAGGAAATTTCAGCATCAGTAGAAAGAGATGTGGTTGGGATTGAGAATAAGGTATAATGGAATAGTCCTGGAAGGATATTACCTGAGTGTCTTCGGGAGAGCAGAACAGTTTTTTTAAAAACTTATAATTGTCATGGAATATTGCGCTAAATGGCACTGCATTTATGAGTTTCTTGTTATTTTAGTTAGGGCATTTGTTTTTCTATTCCTTTTTTTAAAAAAACACTTCAAATATCAGAAGTAACTTTAGGGAAAGTGATCTCAGAAAAATCCCTCATGGCTTTAATTTATAATGGGTCAGGATTATTGTTTAATTTTTGAGATGAAGAAACTACAGAAGAGACCCTATTTGGCTACATTTTTTTTTTTTTTTTTTTTTTTTTGAGACGGAGTCTCGCTTTGTCGCCCAGGCTGGAGTGGAGTGGCGCGATCTCGGCTCACTGCAAGCTCCGCCTCCCGGGTTCACGCCATTCTCCTGCTATTTGGCTACATTTATGCAGCAGACCAATGGTGAAGTATGCAGTGCAAAGTGGGGATCCTAGGAACACAGAAAGAAAACTAGTTTGAGAACAGTAGAAACAAAGGGGGAGGTATACATTTTAAAAAATAATAAAAAACTTCTTAAACTCATCTATGCAAAAGTGCCGGGATCCCCTTAAGCAGAGCATGTCATTTTGTACTGACATTATCCGTGCATGTGGTTTTGACCAATTAATGCTAGTTTCAGATGGATGGGCTTCATATTAATACTAATCGCTGAAAATGACCATTGAATCTGAAATTTCTGTGTTCCAGGACGATAGCTCCCTTCACAGGGCACATCTATGAGAATACAGTGCTTATGTATAGCATTCTGGATAAGGCAAGCTATCTTGTTCATGTGTGAGAAACTATAATGCATCTTTCACATTTAAAGTGCCCTCTGAAGCTTTCTGCTTCACAACCTCTCTCCTTCTTTCCTTGTTACCTTTAAATTTTTCATACTTGAGCATCTCTCAAAGAATTGCAAATTCTAGCCAGAACATGATTAATTTAGTATTCAGCTTCCTCCGATGGAGCGCACTGCCGTCTGTTCTTAGATAAGGCTACCTCTCCTCTTGGCTCTTACCAGGAAAAGTGAATTAAGGCAAAGACCCAGGCTGTTCCGGTGGGCTTCTTGAAAATGAATTTTTACGGGCAGTGCCACCAAGTCAGAAGCGTGGTGTTGCAAAAGCGAAATTACAATATATAGTTGATGTTATTTTAGTTGGGAAGCTCCGTCATCCCATTTTCTTCGCTCAGTTTGCCAAGGAAATATCTATTATTCTTTATTTGGAGGTGAAGGGCTAAATCCAGGCGTTTCTCTTTCTGAAATTCCCTACCTTTATTTTGTTCATGTTTCCAACACCTTCTTTATTTATTTCATCAGCTAATATTTTCTTTGAGAAGGTCACTTGTCTTTAATGTTGAAATAAGAGGCACATTTATTTCCATTGCTGGGATTCTTTTAATAGAACTCAATGAAGCTGAGCTATGAAGGCCAATGCCACTATAATCACGATGACTTCCGGTAATACGCACCAAGGAAATCTGCCCCAGAGTATCTTTTAGACATGGGTCCATTTGGCTTAATCTTTATGAAGAAGGACAGCAGAAAATACAAACTTCCTCTTTGAAAGGTATTATAAAATCTCATTTGAATATATATTCCATAATTTAATTATTTGTTTAGAAATACTTCCTGTACAGAATGTGATTATCAGGTATTTAAAGCATTTAGCAATTACCTGGTATGTAGTCAGAGCTCAATCCTTGTTAGTGATAGTGATGATGATAATGTAATACTGGCACTTCAAAAATATCACCAAAACAACTTGTTGATAAGAAAAGGCTGAGTTTATTCTTATTGCATCCTAGTTTAATTGTAGGACCCCACAGAGCACTAGTATTGAGTGGCATGGTAAAATCAGGAAGTCTGGCTTAAGACAGGTCTTTTCAAGCTGAGGGGTAGTGGAGATTGGGGAGTTTGGAGGGCTAGGGCTTAGGGGAGTGTAGGAGAGTGATGTTAATTGGGACTGAATAATGATTATCATATAGTAGTTTAAAATTGGTAGAGTTGAGAGTTTTGAAGGATCTTGGGGAGTAAGCAGTCTTTTGAAGAGGTGAACAGTTAGATGTTCGCTTAACTGGGATTTCTAGGAAGTTGCTGAAACTAACAATAAAGTTACCTGCAACTTTTTTTTATCTTCTTGGGCAAGAGTTTTCTGAATTAGTAAAGTCATTGAAGACAGGAAGTAATAAAACAATGTTAACCGGAGTAAAGATAGCTAGTAGTGAAGCAACGTTAACATAATACATGGTAAGTTGTGTGGATATAGATGGCTTTGATTCTTCTTCCTCCTCCTCTTTTTTTCCCTCTTCCTCCTCCTCTTTCTTCTCCTTTTTCTGGCATTTTGTAGTTGAAGCTATTTACTACCAGGGAATTAGTTATTTGAGACTAGGTTTTGTGTGTGTGTGTGTGTGTGTGTGTGTGTGTGTGTGTGTGCGTTTTATAATATGGTAAATATTCTGTGCTAATTTGAAAAGAAAGAAGCTGTGTTAGGGAAAACATTTTTTGAGGCCCATTTCCGATGTGACTCTTTATATAAAGAGTGTAACCAAAGTACTGGTGGACTTCTATATGTCCTTCAAAATCTAGCTCCTCATGGACACTCCCAGGCATGCCCGAGAGGTATTGGGCTTTGCTACTTTCTTGCCTCGTCCTCCTCCTCACATTTCCAGATCCTCAAAGCAGGAGTTGCATCATCTTTGTACTTGATGCCAGGAATGTATTATGTGTGGAAGATCCAATGAAGAACAAGAAGCAGTCCCTGACCTCTTCGAGTTCTCATGCTAGCAGAGAAGGTAAATAAAACAATGGTCATTTATTTACCTTTTTAATGTTTCTGTGTGCCTAACAGAGCTGTGTAGCTAGGAGTGACCCAATACATCTGTGCTGAATGAATAAATGACAAATGAAATGGGCTCTGTGATCGTTGAGAAATCTATGAGGTGGGTGTGAAAGTGGTTTTATTTTCCTGAGAAATTTGAACACACACACACACACACACACACTGCCCATTTGTTATTTCTCTTCTAAAACTGACTATTTATATCTTTAGTCCACAGTTTGTTATTAGGTTGCTGTATTTTTTAAAAATAGATATGTGGGATTTTATTCCCCCACATATCCAGTTGCCCAGGCTGGAGTGCAGTGGTGTGATCTCAGCTCACTGCAACCTCTACCTCTGGGCTCAAGCCATCCTCCCACATCAGCCTTCTGAGTAGCTGGGACTACAGGTGTACACCACGATGCCCAGCTGGTTTTTGTATTTTTTATAGAGATGAGATTTCACTTTGTTGCCCAGGCTAGCCTGGAACTCTTGAGCTCAACAATCCGCCACCATTGGCCTTCCAAAGTGCTAGAATTACAGGTGTGTGCCAGCGTGCCTGACCCAGTCTCACTTTTTATATGTTGTCTTTTGTAGTCCAGAAAGTTTAATTTTAATGTACACAAAGGTATTAATCTTTTCCTTTATGGTTAGTGTTTTTTTGTGTCTTGTTTAAGAAAAATTCTCTACCTTGATGTGATAGAGATATTCTTTATTTTCCTCTCAAAGCTTTAACATTTTGCTTCTTGAATTTATTTTATTTTATTTTATTTTTTATTATACTTTAAGTTTTAGGGTACATGTGCACAACGTGCAGGTTAGTTACATATGTATACATGTGCCATGTTGGTGTGCTGCACCCATCAACTCGTTATTTAACATTAGGTATATCTCCTAATGCTATCCCTCCCCTCTCCCCCACCCCACAACAGGCCCCAGTATGTGATGTTCCCCTTCCTGTGTCCATGTGTTCTCATTGTTCAATTCCCACTTATGAGTGAGAACATGTGGTGTTTGGTTTTTTATCTTTGCGATAGTTTGCTGAGAATGATGGTTTCCAGCTTCATCCATGTCCCTACAAAGGACATGAACTCATCATTTTTTATGGCTGCATAGTAATCCATGGTGTATATGTGCCACATTTTCTTAATCCAATCTATCATTGTTGGACATTTGGCTTGGTTTCAAGTCTTTGCTATTGTGAATAGTGTTGCAATAAACATACATGTGCATGTGTCTTTATAGCAGCATGATTTATAATCCTTTGGGTGTATACCCAGTAATGGGACTGCTGGGTCAAATGGTATTTCTAGTTCAAGATCCCTGAGGAATCGCCACACTAACTTCCACAATGGTTGAACTAGTTTACAGTCCCACCAACAGTGTAAAAGTGTTCCTATTTCTCCATATCCTCTCCAGCACCTGTTGTTTCCTGACTTTTGAATGATTGCCATTCTAACTGGTGTGAGATGGTATCTCATTGTGGTTTTGATTTGCATTTCTCTGATGGCCAGTGATGATGAGCATTTTTTTATGTGTCTTTTGGCTGCATAAATGTCTTCTTTTGAGAAGTGTCTGTTCACATCCTTCGCCCACTTTTTGATGGGGCTGTTTGTTTTTTTCTTGTAGATTTGAGTTCATTGTAGATTCTGGATATTAGCTCTTTGTCAGATGAGTAGATTGCAAAAATTTTCTCCCGTTCTGTAGGTTGCCCATTCACTCTGATGGTAGTTTCTTTTGCTGTGCAGAAGCTCTTTAGTTTAATTAGATCCCATTTGTCAATTTTGGCTTTTGTTGCCATTGCTTTTGGTGTTTTAGACATGAAGTCCTTGCCCATGCCTATGTCCTGAATGGTATTGCCTAGGTTTTCTTCTAGGGTTTTTATGGTTTTAGGTCTAACATGTAAGTCTTTAATCCATCTTGAATTAATTTTTGTGTAAGGTATAAGGAAGGGATCCAGTTTCAGCTTTCTACATACGGCTAGCCAGTTTTCCCAACACCATTTATTAAATAGGGAATCCTTTCCCCATTTCTTGTTTTTGTCAGGTTTGTCAAAGATCAGATAGTTGTAGACATGCAGCATTATTTCTGAGGCCTCTGTTCTGTTCCATTGGTCTATATCTCTGTTTTGGTACCAGTACCATGCTGTTTTGGTTACTGTAGCCTTGTATTATAGTTTGAAGTCAGGTAGTGTGATGCCTCCAGCTTTGTTCTTTTGGCTTAGAATTGACTTGGCAATGCGGGCTCTTTTTTCCAACTTACAAGGGATGTGAAGGACCTCTTCAAGGAGAACTACAAACCACTGCTCAATGATATAAAAGAGGATACAAACAAATGGAAGAACATTCCTTGCGCATGGGTAGGAAGAATCAATATCATGAAAATGGCCATAATGCCTAAGGTAATTTATAGATTCAATGCCATCCCCAACAAGCTACAAATGACTTTCTTCACAGAACTGGAAAAAACTACTTTAAAGTTCATATGCAATTTATTTTATTAAATTTACCTGGAATTGATATTTGTGTATGGTATACATGGCTATCTGATTTTATTTTGGTTTTCTCACATGTATATGCTGATCCGTGTCAGCTGGATACTCAAGCAGGACCACCTGCAAATCGCTGGGGGTTCTTCCTTTGTGCAACTCTCTCTTCCCTTTTACTTTGTCTTCTAGCTCTAGGCTCCTTAGTTTCCCTGAATTCCCAGCTCCATCTCCTTAGCTCAGAGAGTACACTAGGCTAGGCCTGGGTTCCTCTTCTGTGTGCTGTGACTTCAAAACTCTCTCAAGGCAGTAAACTAGAATGATCACAGAGCCCACTTCATTTGTCTTCTGTCTCCCAGGGATTGTCATCTGTAGCTGTCTGATGGTGGATGTCTTGACAACATTTGTTTCATATATTTTGTCCATTTTTGGTTGGTTCAGATAAGATGGTAAATCTGGTCTGTTACTTCATTTTGACGGGAAGCAGAAGTCTGAGGAGGGGAATGAGATTTGAACTAGTTAAGATCTGAAGCTGGAGAAGGCAATTTGCAAGACCTAATTTTATGGATCAACAATCTGAGAATTTGCAATGATTCAGTACAACTAGATGAGTAAACTAAGGCTAGGAGAAGTTTCTTTCTTGCTTGCTTTTTCTTTTTCTTTTTCTTTTTTTTTTTTTTTGAGATGGAGTTTCACTCTTGTTGTCCAGGCTGGAGTACAATGGCGTGATCTTGGCTCACTGCAACCTCCACTACCCAGGTTCAAGTGATTCTCCTGGCTCAGTCTCCCAAGTAGCTGGGATCACAGGTGCTGGCCATCACGCCCAGCTAATTTTTTGTATTTTTAATAGAGATGGGGTTTCACCATGTTGGCCAGACTGGTCTTGAACTCCAGATCTTAGGTGATCCATCCACCTCAGCCTCCCCAAATGCTGGGATTACAGACATGAGCCACCACATCTGGCCAAGAAGTTACTTTCTAGGTGTGATCTGTGCACCAATTACAGGCAGCATTCCATATCTGTGTGTTCTGCCACTGCGAATTCAACCAACATCAGATCAAAAATATTTGGGAAAAACCCAATAAAAATGATACAAATACAAACCAATACAGTATGACAACTATTCACATAGCATTTACATTGTATTAGATATTGTAAGTAATCTAGAGGTGAGTTAAAGTACACAGGAGAATGTACATAGGCTATATGCAAATATTACACAATTTTACAAGAGGGACTTGATCTCCACAAATTTTGATATTTGTGGGAGGTCCTAGAACCAATCCCCAATTGATACAAGGGACAACTGTATTGCAAGTTAAGTTGCCCTTATCTGAAATGCTTGGGCCTACAACTGTTTTAGATTTTGTATTCTTTTGGATTTTGGGATTTTGCATACATATAATAAGATATCGTGAGGAATGGGACCGAAGTCTCAACATGAAATTCATTTATGTTTCATATACAACTTATACACATAGCTTGAAGGTAATTTTATAGAATGTTTTAAAATTATTTTGTGCATAAACAGACTTTGTGTACAAATGTGTCACAAATGTCATCAAAAAGCAAAGGTGTCATTATCTCAGCCACTCACACAGGCAGTCTGTGGTTGTTTGGCATCACCATTATTCCTGATTAAATTTATATACCTCTAATAAGCAATAATTTTCTTACACTTATTCACTCAGAAATACCAATAAATACCATTAATACAGGTGTATTAATGTGTTCAGGGTACCTATGCAGCAGAGTAGCACCACCAGAATACCTGAATTAGCTGCTAACAACAGCAACAACAAACAACGCCGGGTTTTGGTCTCCACCTGTGAGGCTGTGTTTTGATTAAGAGGTTACTGTCCACTGTAGTTTTTTTTTTTTAGGTGAGAAAAAGCATCAGAGGCAGTTGCAGGACCAGGAAGGGAATCCTTTAGGGATGAGGAGACCTTCCGCTGGATGGCTTTTTAAAATGTTTCCTCCGGAGTCATCTGCCTCATTAACGAAAGTTTTTGTCTGAGAAGTCTCTCTTTGATTTCGTGAGCTGACATGACATCTTGTTCTGTTATGAATGCATGCTGCTCTAGTCCTTCAATAAGCTCATTACACATTTTCACCATGTTATCTGCAGGCACTTTTTCTGCAGTGTCACCAACAACATCATCATCATGTTGGCCCTCATTGAATTTTGAAATATTTCAGAGTTTGGATTTTCAGATTAGAGATTGTCAATCTGTACTATACAGGAAATCAGATGGCATCTTGAGTTGCATTTTTCCTGAGCTCTGGCATTACGTTTGGAAAGACAAGACAAAAAGGATCTTTTTTCTTGTGTTCATGGGACCTAGGAGAGAAGTTGTGGTTTGGACTAGGATGGAATCAGAGCAGTCTTAAGAAGAGAAGCAGCCTTCCTGAAAATTGAAGCCTAAGTTACTGCAAGGCGTCTTCTGACCTATCCTCCAAAGTCCTTCCGCTTCACTTCCATCACAGTCCATTGGTAAAAATCAAGTCATAGGCCCAGCCCAGAGACAAAAGGTCACACAAGGATATGAATACCGGTGTGGTTGTACAGTGGAACATCTTTGGAGCCAATTACCACAATAACCCACTACATGTTTTGGAGAAATGGGAAGTAAAATGAGAGACAGGATGTGACCAGATTGTGAGAACTTTGAATGCCAGAATGTAGGCAAAGAGAAATCAAAGGCTGTTGTGCATAGGATGAATACAGGGAAATTAGTGTTTTAGGAAGAGTAACTTAGTCGTGATACATATGTCTGATTAGAAGAGGGAGTAACTGGATGCAGATGGAGATGTTAGATGGCCATTGCAGTAACTTAGGTGTGCAAAGGAAGAATTAGAGCAAAGGTGGATGCAGTGGAATAGAAAGGAAAGGATATTTTGAATATGATTTGATCAATCATAATTTTGCCTGCAGAAAGATGGCACATGACAGATATGGAAAGCAAATAAAGAAATATGCCAACTCAAGAAATACATTAAGCCAAGAAATCTTTAAGAATTCATAAAAACAAGAGAGAGAGGATAAGAGATGTATTAAAATGGGAAGCAGGAAGAAAGTAGCCGAGAATAGAAACCGGGGTCAATAAAAGTAGAAAAGGACAATGATTATACTGACCTAAATTATAAAGCAAAAAAGGATATTCACAGGGGAGGAGAAAAGAAAACACTGAGTAGAAACGCATACCATTCTGTGTAAACTCAGCATAGAAGCAAGTAGGACATAACTCTCAATGACACCATTAAGAAGACAATAACTAACTTTCACTAGTGATAATATGTCATATATTTATGTAATAAATATTTCTAAATATTTACTATGTACACACAATGTACTTATCTCTGATACTTTTATGTACAGAGAGATGATCTTCAGACCCACTGTGCAAGAAATCTTCAATTTATTGATGTGTACAGAAAAAATGGTAGCATTGCAAGATAAATGCTAAGTGCTAAAACAGTAATAAGAAAAGATTACTTGCGTGATGGAGGAGGGAATTAATGACTTTGCCTGAGCATATCAGAGATGACGTCACAGAACACTTGAGGTGAGCAGGAGGAATAGAAGTTTGGCAACTAGAGAAGGTGAATCATTGCATTCCATGTAGAGGGGATGGCTAGTGTGTGCAAAGGCAGAAGTCTTCAGAAAACATGGTGGATTGGAAGACCCAGTCTGCTCTGGGTAGAAGCCCTATACTCTGCTCACCAAGAAAGGGAAGTTGGGAAACCATTAAACTATTGAAAAGTACTTGAGATCTTTGGCATCCAGAAGGTTAAAATATCAGTTATCTGGAAGCCTGTTGGTCCACAGTAGCTCTATGTTGCTGATACTGACTGAAAACCAAAGTATTTTTTAGTTGTATTGACAACTATTGACTACTTCTACTCTCTTTTCTTCAAAATAGTGATGTGACTTCTGGAATATTCGTAGAATTCCTAAGCAAATTAAGAGGCTGCAGAACCCAGTTATCTATATTACAGGGCAGAAAGTGATACATGTAGACAGGGAGGTACAGAAAGTATGAGGGCCTGGGGAATGGGGATATTAATTTCAACCAGATAAATAAAAATAAAGATCATGAAGGAGATTTCTTGGAGCTGAGTTTGCCATATGGGTAAGAGTTCAAGAAGTCTCAATCTGTTTAGGGCTGGAGAGGTAGAGCAAAGGACATTTGAGGAAAAAAATGCAGGGCAAAGAGTTGAAAATGGGAAGGTGTTTGAATAACTCTGTTGACTGTCTGATGTCAGTCCAGCAGAAGATTTTCCCAAAGGTGTAGGGCAAGAAACAAGTAGCACGGAAAATTAGGGGCAGGTCATGAAGGCCATTAGATGCCTCTATGGTGTTTGTTGTGTAAGCCTGGGAAGATGTCAAGATCCTGAGCAGAAGAGGGGTACAGCTGAGCTGTGTGTGAGCAGATTGCTCCAGAGGCTGTTTACAGAAAGGATGAATGAGGGCTGATTATCCTGGGGAGAGACTAAGGATTGAAGAGGAGGGCGATAAAGAGAGGGAGACAGCTGGGTAAGATCCTGATGAGATCCATGCTTCGGAAATGGCAATAGGAACAGAAGAAAAGACTGTCTGGGAAGGATGGTCAGGTAGTGGGCTCAAGGAGAGGTAAGAGCCAAAGGTAATGTTGAGGTTTTTTAGCTTTGATGAGGATGGTGTTGATGGAGAAGAATTGAGACATGGAATAAAAGAGTGAGCTAGGGAACATACATTTGTTTTGTTTCTGTTTTGTTTTTGTTTTTGTTTTTGTTTTGAGACAGGATCTCACTCTGTTGGCCAGGCTGGAGTGCAGTGGCATGGTCATGGGTCACTGCAGTCTCCACCTCCTGGTCTCAAGTGATTCTCTCCTGCCTCAGCCTCCCAAGAAGCTGGGACCACAGATGTGCACCACTGTGCTCAGATTTTATTTTTATTTTTATTTTTTTTAGATGTGAGGTCTCACTCTGTTGCCAAGGCTGGTATTGAACTCCTGGGTTCAAGTGATCCTCCCACCTTGACCTCCCAAAGTGCTGGGATTACAGACATGAGCCACTGTGTGTGGCTGTGTTTTTTCTTTCTTCTAAATTCTCATAGAATTTTAGTTTTGTGGATAAAGCACAATAATCTTTTTTCTTTTGAAAAGAAAATCGGCAGGCAAGAACTATGTGTTCTGTGGACTATGATTTATAGCATGTAGTTGTTGGGTAAATTTCACTGTCTTTGGCCTAAGCACTCAAAAGAGAGCTCTTGCTGGGACACATATTCCAATTTTGTGTTTCTGTATTGTACAAGGGAATTGAAATGCACTACTTCAGAGTGAATTAGAAGTGAGTTTGTACATGTTTCTGCTTAGTGGAACTCAAATAGTTTCCCAGGGAATACGTTCTCTGTTTTTCCAACACCTTTCCCTTATTCCCCAAACAGATTAGCACATGTCTCTCATACTCCCCACATTGCCATCAGAGTAAGAGAGTGAGAGGGAGAGATCGGGCGTAGGGCATGATAATTTTACACTTGAGACAGTGATGTGTACGATCTGAAGTTTTTAAATTCTTGGAAGACTCTTGGGTGCGAGATATATTTGTGTTGCAGCACAAAACCAAACAGCACATGCAGTAATCCCTAAAGGTATCTGGGCCCATAGACTCTGCACCTGAAAGCTCTTACTGTTCAGCATTTGGAAACATTTCAAATCATTTCCTCAATGCCCAGTTTCACATTTATAACATATGATAATTAAAAAGAAAGCCCTTGTTAATATTTAACAGGACTGACAGTAGGAAATGTAGATGTAGTTTCTCTTACCTCTTCTTTTAACACCCTTCTCCCATATTTAATCTCAGGGGGTCCTTTCTCTCTTTCTTCCACTCTCTGTACTACAGTCCACAGACCCCCGGAACTCTCACACCCTCTAACTTCCCTGAGCCACAGCTGGGAGAAATTCTCTGATCTAGACCTGGTAACACTTAGAAGAGCTAGTTAATAAATTTCATCCTGAAGAAGAAGCTTCAGAAGTTACCTGTATATGTATCATATATACACACACACACACACACACACACACACACACACACATGCACATATATATACACACACACATACACACACACACACACACATATATGAGGCCACTTGTGTAGTAGGGTTGTGAATTTACATGCATTACACCCAGATGTGCTTGGAAAAATAAGTAATCTGATCAAGATAGTGGAGGAGAAAACAAATAGCTAAAGGTGGCATATAGTTTATACCTAGTTTGATAGAATTTAGGCCTTCGTGCTTGCTCTCCTCCCTTTTCTTTACCCCAAGAGGTATCTGTCTGTCCTGGGAGTGTTTTCTGATGTTGGGGACGAGCCCTGGAGTTTCTCGGTGTATCCCTGCTCTGTCCTGTGTCAGTGGCACTTGTCCTGTGGGTGCACGCTGCCCCACTGGTTATCAAAGCTGTGTGAACTGGTTTCTCTTGCTTGGCCAGGACCTGGAAATTTTCCATCAATGAATCAGTTTCCTCTCAGGCCTGAGGCAGGTCCTGGTCAGATCCACAGCTCCTTGTGCCTTTGGAGCTTCCCCTCAGAGGAGGGCGAGGATCATGGGGCATCCTGGGTCCCATTCTTACACCCCTTGTGACCTGCAAGTGACCAAGAAAGCACTACTTCACTACCTTCTGCCTGTACACTATGCAGTTTGTTTGCTGTGGCTAAGTGTTGGGTTGGTGTGAATTGCCTTTAAGGATTGTTGGTTGACTGCAATGACCCTGTGACAAAGGGGGAAAGATGGGTGATACGGTTTGGCTGTGTCCCCACCCAAATCTCATCTTGAATTGCAGCTCCCATAATTTCCAGGTATAGTGGGAGGGACCCAGTGGGAGGTAATTGAATCATGAGGGCGGGTCTTTCCTGTGCTGTTCTCGTGATAGTGAATAAGTTTCATGAGATCTGATGGTTTTATAAATGGGAGCTCTCTTGCACATGCTCTCTTTTGCCTGACACCATGCAAGATGTGACTTTGTTCCTCCTTTGCCTTCTGCCATTATTGTGAGGCCTCCCCAGCCATGTGGAACTGTGAGTCCATTATACCTCTTTCCTTTATAAACTACCCAGGCTCGGGTATGGCTTTATTAGTAGTGTGAGAACAGACTAATGCAATGGACTTTGCTCTTCATATGAATTTAGGTCTCTGCTCTTCTTATCGCTCATCATCACATAAAGTGACCATGGAATTTTGGGTCCCATACTGCAATACTTTTGAGATGGAAGGGGGTGTTAAAATAACTATAATTATACAATATATTCAAATATATTTTTACTGACTGATACATTGATTTTATAATTTTGATGGAGTAATGAAATAGTTCTATTCAAAATTATTTCAAAATAAAATGCTTTTTACTAAAAATAACAATGACCTTTGTCTGTGTACAGGTCAAAATGGAAGAATAGGCATCCCTAACCATGAGCTGAGCCTGCAAGAACCTCAGATTCACATTCCCAAGAGAGCGTCTGGTGCAGGAGCAGGGCACTCTAGGGTTGGGGCTGCAAAGCTAATGGGCACTGAGGCCGGTCCTTGGGGGGCCCCTGTGCCAGGGCTGAGTCATCCTTATAGGGTTTCTAGATCTTGGCGACATCAAGAGACACCAAGTCATACACCTCAATTGATTTTGGAGCAGTGCCCACTTGCTGGGCAAGGACCACCACCACAGCAGCAAAGGGGCCAGTGAAGCCAGTCTTACTCTACAGCTGGCTCTGCATGCCAGAGCAAAGTCTTGAGATGCTAGGGCTTTGGGTCTTTTGCTATCTTTGTAGGAATTATTAGAGCCAGAAAGTATAGTCTGCAGAGAAAACACCTAGAGCAGCAGAAGAAAGAGGCCTCCCACAGAATTTTTTTTCTGCTGAGAGCCTGATGACCACAGGAAGGTATAAAAGCACTAGCTACAGCTCTTCAGTGAGACAGGGCCCTTTAAAGCTAGTAAAATATCAGAGTCAGAATGATAGTCATGATCTAGGAAATACCGCCTGGTAGAAAACAATGAAAAGAAACCAGATATGTTGGGATTAAGCAGAACAAACACTATGCTGAAATTGATCAGATGAAGGAAGTGAAACAAAGAAAGCCGTTTACTTTATTTCCAAATGAGTTGGAAAGGCTCTCTGAGCACTGTCATTAGCTACCTGCCTTCAACTGCCACTGAAGTTTTCAAATAATTAATATGTTAGAAATAGCATTCTAGTAGTATTTTTCAAAGTGAACCCGAAAAGGATAACTTTTGGCTTTCATTGAAGGGAATGCAGAAGCTCTGACAGAGAACATTTAAATCACAAACCCAGCACAGTTCCATGCAATGCGAGTCTTTTTGGAAATGGCTGTCATCAGTTAGTGGTGACCTCGCAAGCTCTTGTACCAGACAGCTCTCCGTTTTCTCACGGGGAGATGGAAGCCAGGCAGCACCAGCTGGGCTGGTCCTTCCAGCCTTTCTAAGGATATTGAGCTTTTTCATCTGGGGAAGATAGGGAACGGCCACAGGAGTTTAAGCAGTAGAGGCAAAATAACATTTGGGTTTTAGGAATCACTCTGGCGCCATTCTGAGGCAGAATAGGACAATGACTGAAGGTGATCAATACTTCTGGGATGATGGCCAGAAAAGGAGTTAAAGACTCCAGAAAACAGCATTTCTCTGCAACCAAAGAGCACTAGCGCATGACAGAAGAGGTCTGTGAGGTCAAGTCATACCAAAGGGAGTCTGCTGCTCTTGAAGACACCAAAAAGAAAAAAAAAAAGAATAATTCTTTGCTCATACAGAATTTCGCTAGCTAAAGGGATGTTTTTCTTTCTGTCTAGATTTGATCCAAATCGTGTTCTCAGGGTTCATTCTATTATTGTTTCAAACTAAGAGTCAAGTGTTTTAAAAATTTAGATGCAATATTTCTATCTTGGACCTCTCAAGCGAACATTAAGATCAATACCTTGAAGTGAATTCAAGATAACTTGAATCTTTAAAAAAGGAAGTCAGCCATTGTTTTATAGAACTAAAGGTAAAAATCTACCAAAAGCAATAACGTGGAATGCATATAATTTTGAAACAAACGGCAATTGGGTTACAAAAATGTAAACATTTACAAACACCGTTCTGCAAATTATGTCTTATCTCCTGGCAAAGTCATTTAAGGCCGAGTAAGGGCAATGCCTCGTTTTATGACTCCATATCCTGAGGAGTGCTGGTCTTTCTCATTGTCTCGTAATTGCATGCGTTTTCCCTACTAAGCCAAAATCTCATATAACCAGGGTCACTCTTGGTAATCACCTAGCATTTAGTGCAATTTGCCTTCCTACCCTTTCTTGTTATTGTTTTAAAAAACAAGGCACACGCACTTAATTCTTTTTTTCTTAGTACAGATTTTTTTTTTTTAAACTTGATTGGTCCACATGGTAGAACTCTGCCAGTGGAGATTTTGAAATGAGGATGAGTTTATTTGAGCAGCTGTATTCTGTTGTAGAGTATCTTGTGACTTGCCTCAAGGAAAATGTCTATATTCCCCAGACTGTTTAATTGCAGCTCTTGTTTTTGACTCTTTGGGGCTGGCTGTCTCTTTACGCTATCTGATACCAGCTGTAGCAAGCAGTGGGAGAGATATCTTCTCTGAGGCCTGCTGATGTCAGGGTCTTGGAGAGCTCAGATTCGAGGTCAAATCTGCCCTGGCAGGAGTTCATTTGTATTGCTTGTGTACCCCACATTTCCCAGATCAGAATACTGGGAGTCAGGATAACAGCTATAAAGCAGTATTTTTTTTTTTTTCTTTTCTTGAAGGTCTGTTGCAGTGCATTCAGAGGGACTTACAACCCATGGCAAATTACTTTCCAGTAATCCTAGGAGCCCTCAGGGAGTGTCTCATGCTCTGTAGTCTTACTCACCATCAAGCATGTCCAGCATTTTCCTCCTTTTGTGATCCAGCTTGCTGTGATGATGTTCCTGTTTCCTGGGAAACAGTGCGTGGCTACTCTGTCCCTGTCACTCACCGGCAATGCTATCTTTGAGACTGCTGCCTACTGGGCGAGGCCTGGGTAGAAGATGTCTTCTGTTTCCCCATAATGCTGGTGCCCACTGAGGGGGAGATCTCAGCAGAGGACACATCTTCTGTCACCATAAATGTTGGTGCCCACACTGTAAATGCTTTCCTCTGAGTGAGACATTGCTCTCAGACTAGAGATTAACATTTTCATGGGTGTCCTCCTGCTCACAGAATAGCGTCAGGCGCGGAGGGCCCATGACAATTCTTGCTCCCTGCAGGACTCTGTTTGAGGAGAATGTATACAGCTCCCTATGTCTGTCTTTCCTTGTACATTCCTGGCCTCTTCCCAGAGGAATATGCCCTCCTCCCCCTCCCTAGGAAGCATCCCAGGATCTCTCAACCTGGCTCACTCCAGACATAAGAAGACAGGCTTGAGATCTGGGTTTCTCAGAGCTGAAGCTCAAACTGGGATCCCTGCTATTTTCAATGAGTAGACCTAGGAGGGAAATTGTGCAGGTTAAAGCCTCTTTCTTTTTTTCCAAGGGTCTGGCTTTTTCTTTGTGTTACAGCTTCTTATTGATCTACTCCTAGTCCTCAAATCAAATGGAAATGATAGTCAAATCGGTGTCTTTACTGCCTCCTGCTTTTTTCTACCTCGTCCCCTCTTCTCACTCAATTTTCTTTTCCTACGTTAACACTTTCTCCTCTTTTCTATCAATCCAAGTCTATTCTCTCTTACTCCTCTTACTCTTTTTTCCTCTCCTCCCTCCCTCCCTTCCTTTCTTTCTTCCTTCCTTCCTTCCTTCTTCCTTCCGTCCTCTCTCCCTCTCTCTCTTCCTCCCTCCCTCTCTCTCTTCCTCCCTCCCTCCCTCCCTCCCTCCCTCCCTCCCTTCCTCCCTTCTACAAATATTAATTGTGTGGCTACTGTGTAAGGTATAGTGTTATATTCTAGGGATAGAAACATGATTCAGTCATAATTTCTTCTTCTAGAAACTTAAAATTCAACCTCACATTGTCTCTTTTCTGATTTCTTTAGTTTGTCCTGCTTTAAAGGTCCTTTCCTTCTCTGAATTCCTACTGTACACATGACATGCACTGTAAGCTTTTTCATATTTCATTATTATTTTTTAAATCCCTAGCTGTCTTGGACTTGATTGTCCCTGTTTGCAGACACATTGGATTTGGTTGATTTATATGAACGACATATAAATGTAACCATATTTTTGTCATGGAAGTCTTTTTTTGCCTTATGATATGACTGTGTGCCAAAAGTACTTATTATATACTATGTTCCTATTCTGTAAGCTGGGGTGGGGGTGGAGAAGCAATGATTGATAATGATAACCTGGAAACAACATTCTCTGAATATAAAAAATCTATCCATTAGGTGGCATTTACCTTTCCAAAATTGTTTTGCACCATCATCTCTTTTGATACTCATGGCAGATTTTATTTGCTATCATTTTAAGTCCCATTTTAACTAGGGAGACTGAGGATCTTAGAATGTTAAGTGATTTATTCAAAACTAGAGTATGACCCCTGTTCTTCTGAAAGCAAGACCAACACAATCTCCAACACCCCTTGCCTCATCTTGCCCCCCATCACTTCTGCACACCCCATCTCACCTTCCTCCTCTCACCTCACCTCCCTCACTTTGCCAGAGGAGCTCTTTAAAAGTGATTTAAAGGCTCTGTAGTGCTCACCCTCATCACATCACAGTGCAGAAGCACATTGTAAGTAGGTTAGGTACACCTTTTCTTTGTGGTTCTAACATTGAATTTTACCTCTTTAATGGGACAGGCTATGTGCTGAAGCCATTTGCACATCTACCTATGTCTGCAAACAGCCTGTGAGCTTGAGGAGAGGGGCTGTCACTTGCTCATCTCTGTGTCTCTAGCTCCATGCACAGAGCTTGGGCCCACCAGTGTGGATTCTGGAGTAGAATGTAAGATGCCTGCAGGGTGCTTAAAGTTATATCAAGGTTCTGTGTAGAAGCAAAGACTTGAACTCTTGCCTTGAGCTCTTGCTCCCTTATAGCAGGACTGGTCTATCCCACTGGTGTGCGCTGAGTTGAGAGAGGGGGACTCTATGGATGAGATCACACAATATTTTGGAGACCATGAGTAACCCTGATGATTAAAATGTTTCCTTGTCTCGATCCTGAGGTCTCACAGCCCAAATGGAATCATTCTCAATGGGTTTGGGGTATGCCTCAAGAACCCTCACTGTAGAGGATGCCAGCAAAAAGGTAGCATATATAACCTTTAATATTTAATGCAACACAACATTCCCATTCCTACATTTGATGGCACTACTTTCTCTCTATATCTTTTCTGGAATTCCTACCCATTGTGTCCCTTAGTTATGATGTTAATTTCCAGAGCTGCTGTAACAAAGTACTGTACCACAAACTTGATTGCTTAAAACAACAGAAATCTACCCTCTTACAGTTATGGAGGCTATGGGTCTGAAATCAAGCTGTTGGCTGGGCCATGGTCCTCTGAAGTCTCTAGGGCAGAATCCTTCCTTACTGCTGCCAGCTCCTGGTAGTCCCCTTCCTTGACTTGTGCCTGCATGACTCCAGTCTCTGCCTCAGTTTTCACATAGTCATCTTCTTCCTGTGAACATCAGTCATATGGGATTAAGGGCCCACCCTACTCTAGTATGACCTAATTTCAACCTGACTAATTACATCTGCATCAACGCTGAACTATAACATACTTTTTTTTGTGAAATCCATTCATTCCCTAACAATTATTACAGAGGAGGGGAAGCATATTGTGTCTCCAAGGCAATGAAAATTAGCCAAACCTAAGATTAGTCAGGATGCCTAGATGTTCTCCAGGAGCAGAGATGCCTCCTGGACCTGCTGCCCTAGAGTGGTGTGATGGTTAATACTGAGTGTCAACTTGATTGGATTGAAGGATGTAAAGTATTGTTTCTGGGTGTGTCTGTGAAGGTGTTGACAAAGGAGATTAACATTTGAGTCAGTGGACTGGGAGAGGCAGACACACCCCCAATCTGAGTGAGCACCATCTAAGCAGCTGCTAGTACAGCTAGGACAAAAAACAGGCAGAGGAACCTGGAAGGACTAGACTGGCTGAGTCTTCCGGCCTTCATCTTTCTCCTGTGTTGGATGCTTCCTGCCCTCCAACATCGGACTCCAAGTTCTTCAGCTTTTGGACTCTTGGACCGATATTAGTGGTTTGCCAGGGGCTCTCAGGCCTTTGGACACAGACTGAAGGCTGCACTGTTGGCTTCCCTACTTTTGAGCTTTGGAGACTCATACTGGCTTTCTTGATGCTCAGCTTGCAGAGGACCTATTGTGGGACTTCACCTTGTGATTGTGTGAGTCAATACTCCTTAATAAACTCCCTTTCATATATACATCTATCCTGCTAGTCATGTCCCTCTAGAGGACCCTGAATAATATAAGTTGTAAAGTGCAAGAGTTCCTTGGGTTCCACAGGGGAGAACCTGTTCCCATGGGTGGACGGTGGGAAAGGGGAGCGTCAAAGGGGAAGCTCAGTACAAGCGGCCTGAGTGGGTGGGGCCATGGCAGAAAGACCTGATGGCAGATGAGGGATATGGGAGGGGACTGAGAACTGACACAAGATATGCTGGGAGAGATTCAGGATGGATCCTTCCAGCCAGTCTGTTCTCCTGTCCAAGACTCAGAGGGGTGCTCTACACACTGTTCACCATGCTTCTGGGAAGGGAATTTAGAGTACTCAAGCATCAACTTCACCACAATAAGTGTGTTCTCATGTGAAGCCTTGAGGCCAGCTCATTTCCATTCTCGATCCATATCCAGGACTCCCCTTGCCACTGCCTCTGCCCACTTAGTTTACTTATATTACTTCTGTACATGTTTGTATGCTCTATTAGATTTTAAATTCCTTTGAGGGTAGTCATTGTGTCCTCTCCATTTTTATTCCATTCTCCAGAATTTAGCACTGAAATTTACATATAGTAGGTGCTCAATAAATGTGAAGTTAAAATAAGTGTATCAGTGTATGAGGCTATTTTTGCATTGCTGTGAAGAAATACTGGAGACCGGGTTATTTAAAGAAAAGAAGTCAATTGGCTTATTGTTCTGCAAGCTGTAAAGGAAGCATGGCTTTACAGGAAAGGAAGGCCTCAGGAAACTTATTATCAAGGCGAGGGCTTCAGGAAACTTATTATCATGATGGAAGGTGAAGGGGAGCAGGTGCATCACATGGTGACAACAGGAGCAAGAAAGAAAGGGGGGAGGTGCCACATGCTTTTCAACAACCAGATTTTGCGTGAACTCAGAGTGAGAATTTACTAATCACCAAGGAGATGATGCTAAGCCATTCTTGAGGGATCTGCCCCCACAGTCCAAACACCTCCCTCTAGGCCTCACCTCCAATACTGGGAATTACAATTCAGCATGACATGTGGAGGAGACAAATATCCAAACCATATCAATCAAAGCATGGGAACATTTTGCTTATTTCTATAGTATGTTAAGGGCTACACCTGGTGAGAAGTTCTCACCTTAGGACTCAGTATATCTGCCATCTGTGAAATGGAGATAATCTTAGTCCTTCATCATGTAAGTAATGTTATTATGAATTTTAGGGAAACTAATCCATGTTAAGGACATGCCATGTTGTTAAGGCTTAATACATGTTAATTAATATGATTTATGTAAATGCTAACAATAGTTGCTATTTTGCAAAGCTGACCAAATCTGAGAATGACTAAGGTTAAAGTGTCCATGAAAGTTTAGAACATTGCTGATTTCATTAGTTTGAACAATATCAAATGCCAAAGGAAACTTATGTGAATAAATGGTGTTTCTAGTCTTTTTTGTTTGCATTAAAATATTTTGTAACAATTTGTTCATAGCTAGTTTAACTTACCAAGTTTGGCAGGGCTGTATGTAACCTGGTGATTAAGCCAGTCAGGTGAGTGGAGAGGAATGTCTCTTGACAGATAAAACTGATACTTCTACTAAACTTCAAGTCCTGTGAGGGCTGCAAAGGACTTGGTTATACTCACCTCTGAATCGTCAGACCACAGGAAAGCACTTGCTCTTAAAAGAGGCTGAATATATTTGATAAAAGAATTAATGAATGGTCCAAAGTAAAAATTCCTTGAAAATTCTAAATTATACAAAAAATATATCAAATATATCACATGAAAAAAGTTTTATGTATGCGGCTTTGAGATGTGGATGTTTATAGCAAGGTGATTATTTCTGATGGCAAACCAAAAGATCAAAGTAGTTCAGCTATTTGTGACTGAATATCTAACTAGAGTGATCTGAGTGGAAACAACCTGCTATGATTTGAGTGTGTTCCCCCTGAATTCATGTGTTGGAAATTTGGAAAGTGCCCACAGTTCACCACCCCAGTGTGGTGGTGTTGGGAGGTGGGACCATTAAAAGGTGATTAGGTCATTAAGGAGGATTAATGCTGTTCTTTGGGACTGGGTTAAATCTTGAGGGAATGAGTGAATTCTCACTCTTGCAGGACTGATTTGTTACTATTATACAAGAGCAAATTGTTATCAAGTGAGGCCACCCCTTTCTGTTTTGCCCCCTTCTCATGCACCCACTTCCCCTACCACTTTCCCACTATGTTATGATGCAGCATAATGCCCTCACCAGAAGCAGGACAGATGCAGCCGCCTGATCTTGGACTTTCTGGTCTTCAGAACCATAAGCCAAAATAAACTTCTTTTTTTTTTTTTTTTTGAAACAGTCTTGCTCTGTCACTTAGGCTGGAGTGCAGTGGCACGATCTCTGCTCACTGCAACCTCCACCTCCCGGGTTCAAGCGATTCTCCTGCCTCAGCCTCCTGAGTAGCTGGGACTACAAATGTGTGCCACCATGCCCAGCTAATTTTTTTGTATTTTTAGTAGAGATGGGCTTTCACCGTGTTAGCCAGGATGGTCTGGATCTCCTGACCTCCTGATCCGCCCGCCTCAGCCTCCCAAAATGCTGGGATTACAGGCCTGAGCCACCCACCTGACCATAAACCTATTTTCTTTATAAACTACCCACTTGTAGGAATTCTGTTATAGTAACAGAAAATGGACTAAGATACAACCTAGGAGGATTTCTGTAAAGGGCGTTGATTTGAATGTTTGGATCACAATGCTTTTGGTGAATGTGAAACAGTAGGAAAGCTAAGCAATTTAACAAGTAATAATTCGTGAAAGAATACTTACATAGACCTGGATTTCAATGTGAGTAGAAATGCTGATTTGGAGTCCTCTTTCCAGGGCCCTTAAAGTAAATGTAGTGCTCCTGCTGTGTTTGCCTAGAAAGTTGCCCCGCCATGTTCCTTTTGCTTTGCTACACTGTACAGCCATAGTCCAGACCAAAAGGTCAAAGAAAGGCTTCCATTTTAAATGTAATCTATTAGATTGGTGCAGAAGTAGTTGCATCTTTAAATAATAATAATCACTATTACTTTTGCACCAACCTATACCGAAGAGTTTTCTCCTCCACTATAAAGTAACAGAATTCACAAGCTCATGAAGGATATTAAATGAGGTCATCTATATAAAAACGCTTTTTTGCCAACTCTAAAGTGCTACTTTTTCTTTTCTTTCTTTCTTTTTTCTTGTTCTTTTTTTTTTTTTTTTTTACAAATTACAAGGTAATTTTACATACTTGACTTTATTTGATCTTCATAATAATTCTGAGTGGTGGGTACTATTATCAACCCCAAAAGATAAAATAGCTGAGGATAAGAGATCAAATGCTTGTCTACTATAGGTCCTGTTTGACATTTTGAGTGTCTTAGTAACTGCTGAACAATGGTTGAGATGGAGGCAGGATGAGGGGGAGTCAGCAGTATTGTTGATGAATAAATGAGACGATGACGTGTGAGCAATACGAGGGTGGGGAGACAGCTTTCCACTTTGATAAACTCGTGTGTGCAGCCACACCTGCACAGCCAACTGAGGACTCCATAAATACCACCTTGAAAGTGCAAGCAGCTTAGGCTCCAGGACACTACCTCAAAAAGAAAGATCTGCAAAGGGAGGATTAAACTGCTATTTAATTGTTGCGGACACGTCCACAATGTAACAAATGTCCTGAGAGAAGCAATTTGGAAAAGAGTGAGTTGGAAACCTTGGGGGGAAAGTCAGAATCTTTAGTCATAAAACACCTGAACAAGACATAATTATTAGCCCCAAGCTTTATTTTAATGATGTACTATGTCTTAAATATAATACCGATAGTTTGCTGAAAGATACCAGCTGCTCAGAAGGAATGAAACAAAAGGAAAAGGAAGACCATTTGTAAGGAGTGTGGATCTTTGTACAACCTGTCATTTTGATTGCCTGGTGCTCTGGTACCCTCAAGGGACTGACAGAATGTGCTGGCATATGCCACGGGACATCTGCCAATGATCCCCTGGTCTGTGAGTGGTCCCCACTTTGATCCTTCACCCTAGTATGTGCCTCAATCCATTTCCATCATGAGAGATAGTTGCGAGAGACGACTGGTGGCCGGTGCTTGGAGTAGGGCAATCCATCAAACATTTTCCTTGGCATTTGGAGATCTGGATTCAAAATCTGACTCTAAATCTGACAGATAACTTAGCTTTTTGATCCCTCAATTTCTTATCTGAAAAACAGGATTGAATCTAGATATTTTAAAGGACTATGGTGAGGATTAAGTGAGATTCTCTTTGTGAAAATGTCTGGAAAGTAGCAGAAGCTTTTCTGAAGGAAAGGATATTATTTCACTATCCCTTTGGGAAGATCAAGTCTCCTTATTACAAATTTAATATTTATCTGCACAATCAGAACTTTTATTTCTATTATCTACCTTATTTTCTCTGTTATAAAAATATATTCTCCAACTTAAATTCCTTGAGGCAATGTGCCTTGGTGACCTGGGTGAATGAACAGATGATTTCATTTAGAGAAGGGAATAGGTTTGTGATCTTCTTTGGCCCTTTTTATGTACAACTAATCAGAATTATTCAGTCTTTTGTTAAAGAACGAGATAAACAATAACCTCTGATGCATTTAAATATTAACTCAGTCTTGATACTCTCAAGAAGCCATTCACAAACATCCAAACTGGGTTGACATATTCATTCACTGGTTCCATCACCAGGTATTCACTCACACGTCTCTGCTTCCATAATTGCACACACATATCTCCATCATTGTTCTTATTATTTATAAAGTTATACACAATTAGCTTTTCATAGGTTTCCTCTTCTCCACTAGATTAACGTTAATATTTGTAATAGCAAGTAGAATTCATATGGCACATTGCAGTTTACAAAGTGTGGTCTCATACATTTGCTTCTTTTGGAGCCTCACAAGAACACCCTAAAGAAGATGAATGAGTATTGTTATTGCTATTATTATTGTTATGCTCATTTTATAAGAGAACAAGATCAACTCCAAAGACTAATTATAGGCTAGGAGAAGATACCTGTAATGGATTTCCACTTAAAGGTGACAGGTAAGTAAAGATAAACTTAGCATTTATCTATACCCTCTCCTACAAGATCCACAAAAACAGAGTTAGGAAATGGCCAAGGACAAGAGACAACTTCACATTTTGGGAAAATGTAAAACCAGTGTAGGAGAGGTAACTGATGTAGGAGAGTAGAGAAAACTGAAACTCGACTGCCTGGAGAGAAGATTTCCCAGAGAAACAGGCTGATTCCCTTCACAGAACCCTAGAAGGGCTTAGGAAAGAGAGGCTTTTGGGACTAGAAAGAATGAGATTAGAGCTGAGCATAGGAGACTTCACTGAAAGTCTATCCAAGGAGCACTTATTCCCTTGACTCCCAATCTTACCCCATATTGCGTGATAACTGTTTCTTGGACGATGGCAAGAGACATGCGTTTTATTCTCCAGAGTAGTCTCTGGCACAGCAGAGGGTCATCTTAAGGCTCTTTGTTGAAAACAGAAGGGTTAAATTAAATTATATTGGATGAATTGAGAGACTCCAGCCCCGCTGCACCCAGGTGGTTACCCCCTGCATCCAACCACCACCCTCAATTGGTATCCAGAATTTTGAAAGCCAGGTTTTTATACTTCCAGACAAACTGAACGGTAGCAAAGAAAATAGATATAGACACTGATATTTGGTTCTCCTAAATAAAATTACTCCACAATGCAACCTTAGAAGTCTATAAGCCTTATCCACTTGCACAAACTTTCTAAGCAGCTTTTTAGTAATTCACAATCGACCTTTATTATACATTTAAGGAAAGCCTCTATCATCAAAGATAGAGACAAAAACAAACATGGGAACAATACTTTGGAGGAAATATATGCAAAGCAGGATGTATAAGAAAAAATCAGAAAGATGAGAAGATATTGCATTCATGAAACAAGAAGAGAATACCATCAAAGGAATAAAGAACAAGAAAGAGTTCTTGGAAGTGTATGTGTGTGTGAATATATATTCATATAAATGTATGTTCTGTGGACTGAATGTTTGCATGCTCCCAAAATTCATATGCTGAAATTCTAACTCTCAATCTGATGGTATTAGGAGTTGGTGCCTTTGAGAGGTAATTAGGTCACAACAGTGGAGCCCACATAAATAGAATTAATGCCCTTATAGGAAGAGATGAAAGAGCTTGTTTCCACTCTTTCTTTCTTGTCTCTGTCTCTACCATATGAGGATACAACGATAAGGTTGTTGTCAGCAAACCAGGAAGCAGACCCTCATCAGACAATGGATTTACCAGCACCTTAATCTTGGGCTTCCCACTTTCTAGAACTGTGAGAAATAAATATTCGTTGATTAAGCAACTAAGTCTATAGTATTCTGTTATATCGGCAAATAAGAATATTAGGAGATCATCCCATGAGTTCCCATATAAAATGAACCAAAATTCCAGAGAGAGAGAGAGAGAGAGCACATGTGTTGAGAAAACGGAGAGTATAAAATTATCAACCAAATAACACAAATGATTTTTCAGAATTAAAGAACTTAAATTTCTACATTTAAAGGGGCCCAAGCCAGCCATCCTAAGTGATTAGCATCATGAACAAACAAAAGACCAAAAAAGGCACAAACATTACTACGAAATTTCAGAACACTGGGGATAAGAAAATAATTTAAAAGCCCTTAGAGGAGAAAAGAAAAACAGGTTAAATATGGAGGACTGTGAATGATAATTATATTAGACTCTTCAACAACAACTTCGGAAGCCAGGCCAAAAAGGAGAAAAACTGCCAAAATAGGAGGAAAAATAATTTTCACCTCGGAATTGTATACCAAACTATGGGTTTGTATGCATATATTACTTTTGAGAATGGAATAAACATTTTCAGATTTGAAAGATGTCAAAAAATATCTCACAAAGGTACTAGAGGATGTGCTCCACTAAAATAATAAAATACATGAAAAAACAAGGCAGAATCCCCAAACCCAGAGGATTTCACAGAGTGGAGTAGCAAAGGGAATTCCCAGGGTAAAAATAAGGGGTTCCAGACAGAGAGCTGTGTACCCAGTTAAAACAATGAGAAGTCCAAACTGGAGCAGAAGCACAAAGGGGTGCAGAAGAAAAAGGAAGATCATTTGATATATTTATGTAGAAAATAGTACTGAGAGAGGTGGGAAACTTTATAGAGAATTAATGAAAGGAAAGCATATATATTCTACTATACGTAGAAATTAAGCAATTATTAACTCCAGGAAGACAAAAGTTATGTTTTTTAAAAAAAAAGGAAATACAGCTGAGTACAATGGCTCATACCTATAATTCCAGCACTTTGAGAGTCTGAGGTGAGAGGATTCCTTGAGTCCAGGAGTTAGAGACTAGCCTGGGAAACATAGTGAGACCTAATCTCTTAAAAAAAAAAGTTAGCCATCACCCGGGTGTAGTGGCACACACCTGTAGTTCCAGCTACTTGGGGAGGCTGATTCAGGAGGATCACTTGAGCCCAGGAGATAGAGGCTGCAGCAAGCCATGATCCTGCCACTGTACTCCAGCCTGGGCAACAGAGTGAGGCTTTTGTCTCTAAAAAAAAAAAAAAAAAAGAAAAGAAAAGAAAATATGATAATAGTAGTAATGATCTAGACAGTGATCAATATTTATATGATCATAACATTCTAAAGTATAATATTTTTAAGAAGAAATCAAGTTATAATTTTATTGGGAGGATAAGGTAATGTTGCAAGAATGCTAAACCCTTACCTTCCATATAGGAAATCAATAATAACCACATATATAATTATATTTCTTAGAAATATGAAGATAAATATTATAAAAAGCACTAAAATTATATAAAATGATTCATTCTCAAGAGAAAAATTCAGGAGTGATATGGGTGGGCATAGGATTTTTCATTTTTATTTTATTAAGCTTTGTAATATTCAACTTTTTAGTTTCCAGAATATATATTCCTACAAATCAATAAGAGAAAACTCACTAGAAAAGAGGCAAACAATTCACAGAGAACATTCAAATAGCCAATTATGGGTAAAAGTTTGCTCAATTTTACAGGTAAACAGAAAGCAACTTGAAAATTAAAACAACAATGAAATACTGTTTTACTTCTACCAGACTGGCAAAGACCTAAACTTTGACAATGATAGGTGTTGACAATGATGTGGGGAAATTACAATCATATCCTGTTTGTGGGCATGTAAATTATTCTACTTTGGGGAACAATTTGGCAATATCTTGAAAAGTGGAAGATGAGCACGTACTATGATGCAAGTTTTACTTCTGTCTAAAGTGGTTTTCCCAAAGCTTCCCTGAGGTTAAGAATCACTCAGAATGGCTGAGTGGGGGACTTGTGAAACATACATCTTCCCAGTTTTATCCCTGGAGATTATGATCTGGAAAGGCTGAGATGAAGCTCGGCATTCTGTCTTAAAGAAGTGTTTGACTAAGTGTGCAATGCTGTTTGTTGCAGCATGGTTTTTAAAAACTATATTTTGGAAATTACTTAAATATCTATGAACAGATTTATGAATAAATTTTGATACAAGGAAATAATGTTGAAATTAACTATATACATTACTACATATGTATTCATTAACATGGATAAATCCAGCCAGGCATGTGGTGCACACCTGTAATCCTCGCAATTTGGGAGGCCAAGGCAGGCGGATCACTGAAGGTTAGGAGTTCAAGACCAACCTGTCCAACATGGCCTGTAATTCCAGCTACTTGAGGGGCTGAGGCACGAGAATCGCTTGAACCCAGGCAGCAGAGGTTGAGCTCAGATTGCACCACAGCACTCCAGCCTGGGAGACAGAGTGAGGCTCTGTCTCAAAAAAAAAAAAAAAAAAAAAAAAAAAAAAATCTTGAAAATGTCATACTGAATTAAAAAAATCACAAAATGGTAAGTACAGCATATCATGTATGGAAAATTTAAACACACAAACAGTACTATATAGAGTACTGTTATATATATATTTATTTTAGTACTATATATGCTATTTTTATAGTACTCTTACAAATATTACTTATATTTATATTATATATAATATAAAACAATGGAGGGGAGTGATACATTTAAACTTCAGGAAAGTGGTTATCTCTAGAGAGAGAAGGGGCTTCAAATCTATGTAATGTTTATTTAGTGACTAAAAAAGATCTGATACAAATATAACAAAATTGTGCATTGGGTACACTGTGTTATTACTTTTTCTCTACCCTTTTTATGTTTTGATTATTTTGTTTTAAAAAGCAGCAATCAAGTAGGCTTAAAAAATTTCAGTGGTTTGTACAATGTCTCATTATGATGGAAGCACAGTTTGAAGCCACATGTTTTCAAAATCTCTTTCTTTAAGAAGTAGAAAAGGAGTAGATAGAAAATCAACGAATTCAGTGGAGGAGTATATTGGAAAAAAAGCACAGGATGTTGTGTTAAAACTCCTGGGTTCTAATCCTGAAACAAATATTTTCAAGTTATATGACTGGGGAGAGTAATTGCAGCTGGTGTTACTTTTTTCAGCTGTAAAGAATAGAGATACATTAAATACCTTAATGTAGATGGAGCACCTAACAGTGCTTGGAATGTGGTTGCTTCTCTGAATTCCCTTCTTTTCGCCTTTCCTCCTTAAACCGAATCAACAACCATGTACCTAAAGAAGGCCGTGTAAATGTGCAAACTGCGCTGTTCTTTGAAGTAACATCAAATTCTAATGCGATAAAAGGTTATTTGACCGATCTCTAACTGTACGGTTTGTTCTCATCTAAATGCTCTTTGAACTATAGAAATCCAGGTCTGAATGACATACCTGTCTTCTCAGAGAAGTGTTGTTTGCTTTTCCTCACAAATTTTGCCTCCTAAACAAGGTGCCTGCATTAAAAAACAAACAAACCCTTAATCATGCACCTTTATGCATCTTCACATGAAAGATTAACTTTCGACTCTCTCCAGCTCCGTGGAACCTCTCAGTGTTTGCTTTACCCTCTATGTAGTTAAGCTGTTTAAAAGAACTGCCATGAGATAGCACACCTGTTAGAATGGCGGTTATTAAAAAGACAAAAGATAAATGCTGGTGAGGATGTGGAGGAAAGGGAACCCTTGCACACTGTTGGTGGGAATGTAAATTAGTACATCCATTATGAAAAACAGTATGGAGTTTCCTCGAAACATTAATAATAGAACTACCATGTGCTCTAGCAATCCCACTATTGAGTATATATGCAAAGGAAATGAAATCAGTACGTAGAAGAGATATCTGCACTTCTGTGTTTATTGCAGCATTATTCACAGCCAAGACATGGAATCAATCTAAGTGTCTGTCAATGAATGAATAATTAAAGAAAATGTGGTGTATATACACAGTGAAATATTATTCAATCATAAAGAAGGAAATCCTATCATTTATGGCAAATGAATGAGCTTGAAGGACACTATGCTAAGTGAAATAAGCCAAGCATAGAAAGACAAACACCACATAATCTCATTCAAACATGGAATCTAAAAATGTTTATCTCATAGAAGTAGAGAGTAGATAGAATAATGGTTACCAGAGGCTAGGGTGGTTGGGGGTGGGGCTTGGGAAGATGTTGGTCAAAATATACAAAATTCAGTTAGACAGGAGGAATAAATTGCACAAGAGATCTATTGTGCAATAATGTGTTAAATTCTTGAAAAATGCTATGAAAGTGGATGTATTCTCACCGTAAAAATAAGTATGTGAGGTTATGCATACATTAATTAGCTAAATCTAATCATCCATCAATGTATATATACAAAATATTATGTAGTACACAGTAAATACACACAATTTTATCTGTTAATGTAAAAGCAAAAGAGAGAACTGCCATGAATACATCTCTATTTTGACTTTTTTATTAAAAAATTTGAAAAGTTGTATAACTTTATTTCTCATCTTGACTATATTGTCAGGGCCAGCTGGTATGGTAGAAGCTTTTAATGGGGCTGTGATTAAGACTGCTCATTTGGGAGTTAATTGGAAAAAAGAATCACTTAAAGCAGGACATTATTGAACATTGATTAAAGGTTTAACGATCTTTTAAAACTCCATATATAAATGTGCATACTTGTGAATTCATTGACCAGTAAGATGGAGCTGAGGTCTATCCTTTGTGTATGATTCTCATTGCAGGGCCAGGATTTCTTGTGCACACCACACTGATATTGGGTCCTTGATAATTCCAAGCTTGGGATTCTTTAAGAAAGAGCAAAAAGTTAAAGACCTCTGGAAAGCAATTTGAGAGAGCACAAAATTCTCTTAGAATTTTCCTATTTTTCTTTTCGTTTCATAATTCTCTATAATTTCTGAGTGTTTTTTTTTTTTTTTTGAGACAGAGTCTCTCTCTGTCCCCCAGGCTGGAGTGCAGTGGCGCGATCTTTGCCCATTGCAACTTCTGCCTCCCAGGTTCAAGACATTCTCCTGCCTCAGCCTCCCAACTAGCTGGGACTATAGGCACACGCCACGATGCCTGGCTAATTTTTGTATTTCTAGTAGAGACAGGGTTTCACCATGTTGGCCAGGATAATCTTGATCTCCTGACCTCAAGTGATCTTACTGCCTCGGCCTCCCAAAGTGCTGGGATTACAGGTGTGAGCCACTGCTCCCGGCATTCAGAGTATTTTTAAAAGAAGCTTTACATTAGCACGTCTCTTCAAAGTATTCATCTCAGTTTTCAAAGAAACATCTGTTTTAGAACTTGTGTTTAGAGGTTGATGTAATAACATTAAATAATACAATAAAAACTGAGATCACAGACAAGCCTTGTGAATATAAACAACTAACTCTTTTAATTTATTTTATTTTTTTAAATTTAGAGACAAGGTCTCACTGAATTGCCCAGGTTGATCTCGAACTCCTGGGCTCAAGTGATCCTCCCATCTCGACCCTCCAAAGTGCTGGAATTACAGGCATGAGTCACCGTGCCTGGCGCACAACTAACTCTTCACGGACTGTACCACCCACCTGGAGGAGAGGAAATGGATGGGCATAGTAGAGAGAAACCTAACATTCGAGAGTATTCTGCATACTGTCAATAACTGCTGGACTATTTCATAGAGGGAATGGAATGTGTAGTGAATCTGATAGATTAGTTAATTAGAGGTTGGTTAAGACCGCTTCTATATTTTCATGTATCTGAGTATAACTACAAATAAGAACTGTGAGCTCTTAACAATTGAAGTGATCAAAAATATACTTTCTCTGAAGTACAAGGAAGCTTGTGTGACTTTACAGACATAAATGATTTTAAACAAATCTCCACTTTATGCCATATGACAGAGTAGAAATGTTCATAATTGCTTAGAGAAGAAGATAATGTTTTATGTGTCACTGGAGAAAAGTGTAAAACAAATATTTTACAGTTTTTCTCTAGCCTATTTATTGTTTTGATTTGACTCAAATAACCTTTTTTTGGTTATTGTAATAGACTTCGTAATGCATCTTCTCAATTGTGTGGGCAGATACACAGAACTTTATATGCATGAATAATACAAGTTGACCTAGCAATATATTTTATTTGTTTTCACATTATACATAAGGCACAAATCCTAACAAAACTAGACTGGAATATATTACAAATTCATTTGGTTAGGATTCAGTTACTGAGTGAGTGAATAAATATATATGATTTAAATTAAGAATGTGCAGTCCATTACTTTCATGCCACCTCTCCTACTTTATTTTGACTTTTGCACTTATCATGTTTTATTAACATTTTGAAGTCGTAAACATGAGTAGAGTGAATGTCATATCCCAAAGTTGAGGTTAGAGGTTTGTTACATGTTAGAATATGGAAGACCCAAGAGTAAATGCAGAGAAACTTATGCTCAGCATTGACTTGAGAGCATTGCCATGTCTGTGGTGCTTAGAGCTTTCCTTTGTCGATAGTGTGTACTGATGATCTAGACCAGTGGATTTCAGAGTGGTCAGTAGACTGCTGTGTTTAATCCATATTCAGAGTTCTTGAAAATACCCAACTCCAGGCACACCATGTGTGTATTCACTTCTTCGGAGGTAAGGTCAAAGAATCTGCATTTTCAATTAACCCTCCTATTGATTACCGATTCTTATACAAAATAAAGTTTGAGGTTATCTTAGTTCCTGTTCCTTAGGAGCAGAGCCTTTGATATGGTAGTTGTAATCATGGCACATGATTTGTTGAGGAAGCGATTTTCAGAACAATCTGTGAGGTTGAGAGTGAAGCAGGATGGAGAAGAGGAAAAAGTGGAGTGATGGTGTGGTCTCAAGTAAAACGGATCCTCAGGGACAGGCTGTGAAGTTGTCTCCCTTTGAGGCAGGGGTGGCAGTAT
This sequence comes from Homo sapiens, assembly GCF_000001405.40. Classification (NCBI taxonomy): domain Eukaryota; kingdom Metazoa; phylum Chordata; class Mammalia; order Primates; family Hominidae; genus Homo; species Homo sapiens. The sequence continues at coordinate 79,208,899 of NC_000013.11, read as the reverse complement.
TTAGTACCTTCAGTTCAGTCAGTCACATGTTGTGGGATGCATGGGGTTAGGAGGTAGGGGAGATTTATGCAGTTCTTCCCTGGTGCCATGTTGAACCCCTACTAACTTCAACAGGGATGGCATCAAGTTCAAGAGGCTGAAAAAAGACCTGGAGCCAGTGAAAGAGACATATGGTTTTTTGAGGTAAATTACAGGGCAGCCCAGTGGTGGTGGGCTGGACAGAAGAACCACTACCACTTGTAAAAACATGCGGTTTATAGAGCATTTTCACATAGCACCCTCCTCCTAGCAACCTCCACCTGGCAACCTTCCTTTAACCTAGAACAAAGGGCCTCAATCCCTGTGCAGTCTGCATTCCACAGCATGGGCCGGGGGTTCAGATATTCCTCATAGATAAGGAATGAACCTCCAGGTTGGCCATTCCTGATTTCATAGCTCAGAACTCCAAACACACAGTCTTCTTAGGCCATTGGGTCATTCATTCTCAGGTTATGCTTAAGTTATCGCTGTCAGGTGTGTCTGTCATACACCTGGTGAGGCAGTTCCTATTCATAGAGGGTGATCTTCAGAGAAGCGGGTGGGCAACCGTGTGTCCTTGGCAGCCAAAACTCACAGCAGCTGAGAGATGGATCCTCTGATCTGGCTAAGAAGGGTTAAGGAGATGTCGGTGGGGTATCAAAACAGCACCCTCACAGTCCACCCCTCCCCAGGTCCACTTGCATCGCATATTAAATTCACTTCAAACATGTGAATCCTGAGATCACAATTCCTAGGGAAATGTAATAGAAGGATTGATGAGATAAACTACAACCCCCACTACTGCAATTGATACTCATCATCTCCCCTCTGTATTACGTATTTCTGATCCTCCTACCCTCAGCTGGCACTTCCAGCTGATGTCTAGGTGGCTTGCATTTTGGGTTTATATAGCCTTCATCCCTGCAGGGCCTGAGTTCCCAGTTAGCATGCCTTTGTGAAACTGGGGTTGTTAAACTTGCCCATTTATAGTAATAAATGGGCACGGATGTACCAAGAGATGTACCGGCAGGTGACCAGACATATTAATTTATGTTCTCATTATTAAGTGACAGTTCTACTTCCTCATGATGATGATGGTTAATTTTCCTGGCCATAAGAGTAGCTCCTTTTTCTACCTAATGGCCTATTAACATAAAAAGCCAAATGTGACTAGGTGGTAGTCATTGCTTTGACTTTAGTTGGAGTTTTGCTGTGTCCTTTGGGTGGGCATTTTCCCCATCTTGCAATCAGAACCTCTAGACTCCTAGGCCTTATACATAGGGGGATGAGAAACACAGATTCTTTAAGTGAGTCATCAGAAGTGAGGTGAATGGAGCTACTTCTACCTTTCCATTACTTGATAACTGCTCAAAGGTATTCTATCTATTGGAGACATAGCACTACGTAATGGACATTCATTGAAGAAATTTACTAAATCCTGAAGAATAGCACCTATCCTCATAGGATCTCATCTTCAAGCTGGTGTCTCAGCTACATCTTTAAGAGATGGGTTCATCACTCTGTTTGGATGGGAGCTTCTTTATGATGTAGAAAGTGTTAGGACAGTGTGCCCCACATAGATATGCCCATTGCCACACCTTTTAGCCATAAAGTGGGTCCTTCGATCTGGAGTGATACTACATAGATTCCACGACTGTAGATCACACATTCCGTGAACCCTTTGATAGTGGTGCTAGCTCAGTACCTATGGGTGACAAGGGCAAACCTGTACTGTTTATCAATCCTGGTTAGAAGGCTCTGCTTCCCTTTCCAGAATGGGAGATGTCTGATGCCACCAATTTACCAGTAGGTAGTTAGTTGGTTTCTTTGAGAGTATATTGTATGCCCTAGTAAAGGAAACCTGGGTGAGGCACCAAAATTCATTCTGCCACAGAGACCCACTGGCCTTTTGTTTCAGAGTACAATTTTAACCAGATTTAACACAAGTTTGATCACATTTTTGGATCAATTTATTGATTGCATACAGGCTATTTGATTAAACCAAAAATATGACAAATTAGTTGAATTCATAGTTATTTTCAATTCAGTTTGAGTAAACCAAACTACATCTATTATTAGACCGGATAATTCAGTAAACACAGACTCTAGGTATTAAATATTAGCCAGTTAATAGGGGCAAATGTATAGAGTCAAACTTTGAAAAACTTAGCTGCTATTCACGAAGAAAAAGCTCAGAAGCAGGAACTGCAGAGAGATGGCATGGCCAAATGAGGACCTTTCTGATTTTGAAAATCTCGTTTTATAAAGTATGTTTCTTTAAAAAGTTATTGACTGATCTATAATTTTGGAATAGAAGAAAATAATTACTACCATTTTTTCAATTGCCAAATTACTTATAAATTTTAAAATATGGAATAATCAGAGTTAATGGTATCTCAGAATTGGGAGGGCTTAGATCCTTATGTATATCTTTCTTTCCAGTAAAGGAACCCTGTTTATTACAGGCTGACAGTCAAATATCTTCAATTAATCATGTGATAGAAAATCTAGTACTTCACAAAATAATATACTTAATTTCTTTTAAACATTATCTTCTTACGACTGTAAGGATAATATATTTTTATAATAGAAAACATTTGGACTCAGAACTAGAAAGTAAAACAGCACTTTAAACCCCCATTAAAAAACTGTTGCTATTTAGCATTTTGTTGTTTTCTTTTCAGTATTTTTACATGCTTTAATCTTCCACCAAAGTAGTTACAATCATGTTACATATACAGCTGTATACCTTGCTATTTTCTACTTTAAATTATAATAAAAGCTTTCTTATGTTATTATAGATACTTTTGAAGCATCTTTTACAATGATGCATAACATTCTGTCCTGTGGTTCAACCACAATTCTACTTAATCATTCTCTTCTGCTTAGACAATTAGATTATTTCCATAGGCTAAATTTCAGGATGACAGATAATTTACCTATATATACTTAAAAAGACCCATACACATAAGATTGCCTTCTGAAAGTTATGCCATAATATTAAGACATGATGGACAATTATGTCTTTAGTCTTCTACGAATCCTAATGAGCTTTATGCTTCACTTTCAGTTTGCATCTAATTCCCCTTGATAATGTATATGCAAGATAAAAATTGAATAATTTCATTTTCTCTGGTGTCAACACATACTTCAAAAGCATAGGAACTTATTTTACTTTGATCTTCTTGCTTTGAAAGAGCCAACATGTCCTCTTTACTGTACTTAGTTTCTTTTTTCTTTCTTTTTTTTTTTTTTTATAGGACCCAACTCTGTTCTTCAGTTTTTTTCTTTACCTTTGGTTTTCAGCAATTTGTCTATTATGTTCCTAGGTTTGGTTTTCTTTGTTTTTATCCTGTTTGGGTCTTCTTCAATCTGTTTGTGGATATTTATGGTCAAATTTGGAACATTTGCCACCATATTTCTTAAAAAAATTTTTTCTATTCCAATATTTCTCTCTTCTGTGACTTTAATTATGTATGTATTTGACATCATTTGGATATTTGTCTCCTTTAAATCTTGTGTTGAAATTTGATTGCCAACGTTGGAGGTGGAACCTGGTGGGAGGTATTTGGGTCAGGGGGTTGGATCCCTCATGCATGGCTTGGTGCCTTCCCTACCATCACCATGATAATGAGTGAGTTCTTCTCTTAGATCCCCCCAGAACTGGTTGTTAGAAAAAGAGTCTGGCACCTCCTCCCTGTTCTCTTCCTCCCCCTCTTTCCATGGGACATGAAAGCTCCCCCTTCCCTTTCCACCATGCTTGAAAGCTTCTTGTGTTCCCTGCCAGAAGCAGATGCTGGTGCCAAGCTTATTGAACGGCCTGTGAATTGTGAGCCAAATCAACCTTTCTTTATAGGTTACCCAGCCTCAGGTATTCCTTTACAGCAATGCAAAACAGACTACAACAAAAAATCAGACTCCTTGATATTTTTCTACGAGTCACTGAAGCTCTTAAAAGTCACCTTTTCTTTTCTATTTTTTTTTGTTTTGTTTTGAGACAGAGTCTTGCTCTGTTGCCCAGCCTGGAGTGCCTGGAGTGCAGTGGCACGATCTCAGCCTTGCTGCAACCTCCGCCTCTCAGGTTCAGGCAATTCTCCCTGCCTCAGACTCCCGAGTAGCTGGGATTATAGGCATGCACCACCACGCCTGGCTAATTTTTGTCTATTTAGTAAAGATGGGGTTTCGCCATGTTGACCATGCTGGTCTTGAACTCCTGTCCTTAGGCGATCCGACCGCTTCTGCCTCCCAAAATGTTGGGATTACTGGCGTGAGCCACCACAGCTGGCCTCTTTTCTATTTCTAAGATGGAATCCAGGGTGTTTTTTTTTTTTTTTAATATAACATTACCAGTATTTCCTTCCAATGTAAAAACTTCAATTCTGATGATGAAAAATTTACTTATTTTTAAAATAATAGTCATCACATGTTTTGGTAATATTTGTTTTTCCTTTTAGTTTGTCAGCTCCATAAGGGAAGGACTCTGTTTTCTATTGAACTGTTAACACACAGTACTGTGCCTGAACATAATAGATACTCATTTGTTAAATAGAAATAGTAACTGATATTATAACTAATCTTTGTCAAGAGCTATATACTAACAGTCCTTCTAAGAAACATGTATTATTTTTAAAAAATTACTTTGTTGTGTACATAGTCATGTGTTGCTTAATGACAGGAATACATTCTGAGAATTATGTTGTTAGGTGACTTTGTTGTTGTGCGAACATCATAGGGTATATTTATGCAAACCTAAGTTGTATAGCTTACTATATACCTAGGCTATATGGTATAATTTATCGTTCCTAGGCTACAAACCTGTACAGCATGTTACTGTGCTGAATACTGTAGGAAACTGTAACACAATGTTAAGTACTTGTGTATCTAAACATAGAAAAAGCATAGTAAAAATACAGTTTAAATAATTAAAAATCGTACACCTGTGTAGGGTATTTACCATAAATGGTACTTGTAGAATTGGAAGTTGCTCTGGGTGAGGCAGTGTGTGAATGTGAAGACCTAGGACACTACTACACACTACTGTAAGCTTTATAGACATTGTACATTAAAACTACAATAAATTCATTAAAAGCTATTTTTTCTTTTTTTTTTTGAGACGGAGTCTCACTTTGTTGCCCTGGCTGGAGTGCAGTGGCACCATCTCGGCTCACTGCAAGCTCTGCCTCCTGGGTTCACGCCATTCTCCTGCCTCAGCCTCTCAAGTAGCTGGGACTACAAACGCCCGCCACCACGCCCAGCTAATTTTTTGTATTTTTTAGTAGAGATGGGGTTTCACTGTGTTAGCCAGGATGGTCTCGATCTCCTGACCTTGTGATCCACCTGCCTCGGCCTCCCAAAGTGCTGGGATTACAGGCGTGAGCCACTGCATGGGGCCAAAACTATTTTTTCTTAAATAATAAATTAACCTTAACTTACTGTAACATTTTAATTTATAAAATTTTTATTTTTTTAGCCTTTTGACTCTTTTGTAATAACATTTAGCTTAAAACACAAACACATTGCCGAGTTGTATAAAATACTTTCTTCCTTTATGTCCTTATTCTATAAGCTTTTTTTCTATTTTTAAAAATTTATTTTTTAGCATTTAAACTTTTTTGTTACAAACTAAGACACAAACATTAGCCTAGGCCTACATGGGGCCAGATTTATCAATATCACTGTCTTCCACTTCCACATCTTGTCCCACTGGAAGGACTTCAGGGGCAACAACACTCATGGAGCTGACATCTCCTATGATAACAATGCCTTCTTCTAGAATACCTCCTGGAGGACCTGCCTGAAGCTGTTTTACAGTTAACTTTTCTTTTATAAGTAGGCATACACTCTAAAAAGGTATAAAACTACATAGTAAATACATAAACCAGTAACACAGACATTTATTATCATATCAAGTATTATGTACTGTGTGTGATTATATGTGTAATACTTTTATACAACTGGCAGTGCAATAGGTTTGTTTACACCAGCATGAATAACGTGTTGTGCTATGATGTTATGATGCGTACAATGTACTAGGTGATGGGAATTTATCGCTCTATTACAATCTTAGGAGACCACCATGGCATATGCAGTCCATCACTGAGCAAAATATTTTGTGGCGCATGACTGCATTTAATTTTTCTTTCTTTGACCCTTCAGGTGTTGGCTGTTGGCAGGAGCATTTCCCCAACAACGTAATGTAGGTGATTGAAGAAAATTTTTAAGTTTTGAAATTCCAAGGGACTTAGAGGAAATGGACTTTCCTGGAGATGTGGCTACCTGAAAAAGAAACAGTATTAAGCAGGTGGATTGGATCCTATTTTTCAATGGGTAGACTGTGTGAGGAAGGGTTATACATCAACTTAATGGAGGGAGCCAGTGAGATGGGGAAAGCTGTGTGAGGGACGATACTCTCTGTAGCCTGTTAGAGCTTCAGACACATTGTTGAATTCACTAAGTTGACGAATGTAATTGCATTTCTTGTGGAAAACAGTGAAATATTTTTGGTCTGTACAGTGACTTGTGAGAGGGCAGAACTCGGGTGTCAGATCCCCATATAGGAACTGAGAGCAACCAGAGGAATTAAGGTCAAGAGTCCACAACAAACATCAGTGTTACCCTTTTTGAGAAAAAAAATCCACAAAAATTATAGGGAGAGAGCTCAATTCACAGGGGCTATGAAGCTGGGCATTTTGATCAAAGTTGAGCTAATATTCAAGGGACAGAAAGGCTGTATGTGACATTTGGGCCACATTGTCTGACAGTACTCATTCAGCCATGTGGTTGTTGCTGGGACTCAAAAGTGAGTTAATTACTTTGATACCAAATTTTGGACTCGTGTGCATCCTAATGTCCAGCTCCTGCTCATAAAACAAAATAGAGAAGAAAGGGTCACTACACACATACTATTATTTGAGAGCCTCCTGCAATGGGCCATTAGAAAATATGTCATAGCATGTGTCCTAAAAAATTAGACTAATGGTCAGTGCTAGTTGCGGAAGAAGCCCTTTGTAGATAAGCATCACTGGAGAAACACAGACCAAGAGAGGTAAGGTCTCTTTAAATGCCACTTTGGCCACCCTAGATTTCACGGTTGATAAAACTGATCTTGGAAGAGGAAAAGATGGGCACGAAATTCGTTAATAGGAGGGAGTAAGACTGAACAAAAGTGTCAATCCAGGGTACCAGCTCAGACATTAACAGTGGGTTGATATGGGAATGATTGCTTTCCATGTCTCCATTCCCACTGCCAAGCTGTCTATATAAGAAGGAGCAGGGAGGAGGGGAAGAACAGGTACCTCTCACCATTGGTGAGGAGGTGACTCAAAGGTGGCCCAAGCCTGCCAACAGTGATTATTCTCACATCTGTGATTCTCTTGTGAGAAGCTGATCTCTCTAACATGTGTAAACACAGGAATTTATTTACCTCCTGCCCTTTGGAAGGCTTCAGCATCGTGTCAGATAGATTAAGAAAATATTTAAACTGCCTCGGATTCCATAAATCAATTGTCAGGTTCATTTGTGGTTAAGGCAGCCACCTTGTTACACGCAGGTTGTCCCTCAGGAGTTTCCAATAAATGAACATCTGGATAGAAGTAGGAAGAGTGATGAGGTCTTCTGGGTTTAAGAGAGGAGAAGCTCCGGAAACCATTATTGTTTTTCCCGGAAAGAAGTAAGACCACTTGTGGGGTTGGGCCTAGGGGAGAAGCCTCAGCCATAAATAAATATGGCTCTTCTCACCAATTCTTCAGGGTGAGAAGTTGTAGTGAGACAGCAGACGTGTTATTCCGCTGAATTCCAGAGTGAAAGTGTAGGGCTGCTCCATATCCCAGAAACAGTGAACGTAGGCCATGGTGGGCGTGGACATCTCCCAGAAGCAGTGGACATAGGCCATGTGGGCGTGGACATCTCCCAGAAGCAGTGGATGTAGACCATGGTGTGTGTGGACATTTCCAAGAAGCAGTGGACAGGCCATGGTGGGCGTGGACATTTCCCAGATGCAGTGGATGTAGGCCATGGTGGGCATGGACATTTTTTAAGGGTCTTGGTTCTCTCAGAGGTGGAGGAGCAGGAGGCAGGCCTGTGGGCTGGAGAATGCTGTGTGGGGAACAACGACCTCTCTTTCTGTAACTGTCAAGCTGAGCTGACTTACTAAACTCACAGTATTCATGAGGGTCATTGGCTTTCTCATGGGAAATAGTGCAGGGTCAAACTGAGATGGCAGATCTCATTAGGAATGGAAAAGCAGACAGGTCAGAAATATGCCAAAAATGTATGGAGGATTCTGGACTCACATAGAAGTGAAATCAGGGGAGCCAGCTTGACAACTCTTTGAGGGACAGGGTAGCCCCAAATGATGCCTGGTTTATAATAGATGCAATTTTAGTAAGATTTCTAAAGGTTACTTCTTGTAGTTTTCAGTAGCCAACATGGCATCTTAGCACTCCAGACCCTTTTGGATACTATAAGTGCCAATAATGATCTTTCTGGATTCTACGTTTAACCTGATGGAAGAGACATGATATGCAATTAAAGAAAGTAGTCTCAGAAACATGTTTTTCCTACTCTTAGAGCAAGGTAGTCCACCAGAAATCTAATGCATGGTTATGTTGCCTTATTTATGTGTAATACATTTTACATTTATGGAATGGCAATGGGTTTTGAGATTTATGACTAAAAGAAACAAAGTGAAAAGCACCACCACCACCACCACCAATGATAGCAATACTGTTATTGAAGACTTTTTGTCCTTTGCTTTACTCGGAGTACTCTTGATAAGGTTCTACTTGAGAACATTATTTAAAGATTTAGTGCCCAGAAATACATTGCAACCTCAAAGAAAATTGATGTTTCCTCTATGAGATAATTTAAATGAAATGACAGAATGAAATGAAAGTGAAATGACAGAAATGTTTCCTTTCTGTCCTTGTTCAATGGATGCTGAGAGCCAAATTTGTTAATTATTTGTAATAATGTTATCATCTTCACAGTTAGCTTAACTTGTTGGCTGGCTGCCTATAATTTTGAATTTCTATTTTCCATTTTATTAAGCTTGTCTAAATAACCTTTGTTGTAAACTGTCACAAATCCCAATTATTATTATAATCCATTCCTTTGGGGATAGAAATAAATTTGGTAAATTAAATTACTAATAACTTTATTAATGATTTGTGGATTAATATATCATACATGCTCATCATAATAGCTTAATTTTTATCCACTTGATATCAAAAGTAAGTTAATTATTCTGGTACTCAGTTTTGAACTCATGTGCTTCCTAATTTTGATTATAGAACTAAAATCAATGATGTGAATAGAAAACATGGAAAACACTTACATTGTTTGCCCATATGCATGATGTTTTATATTCCTTATTTCCCACTTTTTAATTTCTTTCAGATGGTTTCTATGTAAACTGAGACATTACATTTTCTATTTATCCCTTTCCTCTTTTTTTCTTGTCCAAAATAGATGCATTTGGTCTGTTACACTTAGTTCAAGAGTAATTATTTTTCAGTTCAAGGTGACAATTTAATCTATTTTATTATAAATGAATCAAATTTTCCAGGCAGTATATTTATTTGGGGACTTACTATGCTCCATCGACTGCCAGTATAAGATTCAATAGTTAATTTATTCCTTTTGAGGAATTGCATGTCCACAGCCTCTGGGGTTTGCACTGAAACACTCCTTTAGGAAGGGGTAACACGGGGCAACTTTTAAAGATAAGACAGATTTGCAGAGCCGGAATTTCATTGTAACATCAATTAGATTGAATTGTATTATATAAGCAAAGGTTATTTGCAGAGCTCCCAGTGACAAGAACAGCATTATTCTGAAATTCTCTGTTGGTTTGTGCAGCAGACTTCCCATGGGAATTCGGGGCTCATGTTCCTATTCCCTTCAGGGAATGCGCAAGGGTATGAGACTGGATTTAGTGTAGGACTACCTGAATGAGAGGTAGACATTTTCTTGAAAAGGATGGTAAAATCTGGAATACTTTCAAAAAAACTGATGGAAAGGTAATTTTCCCTGTTAAAGACTCCTAAACAGACAAACAAATGAAGTTGCAAGAGACTATGAGTTTACCATCCAAACAGAATGCTTCAAAACATCCCCTAAAATGTATATAACTGCTTAGCCATGGAAATTCTTATTGCATAGTTTTTTTCTCTGTATCTGTCATTGGCAGAGTAAGGATGTATTGGATGGAATAAATGTAATTGAATGTATTTCCAAGGCCCATCAGACTTTCAAGCATGTATAGCCATTACTTAAATGCATTCTAATAATCTAAAAGTAATAAAGGTCACAGACTCCACTCATATGAACAAACATCACCTTTCTTTGCTCCACATGGATCTGTGTCTCCCTTTGCTGGCACAGGACTCTTTCCACTAAATGGCCTAATTGTAGCTCAGGTATCTCCAGTATTTCTTGGGCACATAGAGAAAAGAACTCATTAATTGTACTAACTAGTGTATTAATTAGGGCTAATTACAGTGGCCTTTTCTAGCTTGCCTACTATTGCAAATAGAAATTCAGTATGGGGACCTCAAATGTAAACTTAGGGTTCAATGACCCTGAATTAAATACAAAGTCATGTTAATTTCACCAATATAAAATGTAAATTCAGTGTATACCAAACTGTACCCTGTCATGAAGGCTTCACAAAGCAGAGAAAGGAGACAATGGATCCTGTTTTGTTTCTCATTTGGCCCTTGCTGGGTTTACTTTCATCCTGCTGATCCTGTAGGCAGCTGTGGGAGAGAGAAGGGCTTAGGACCTGGAGGAGGATACCTGGGTTTGAGCCCAGCTCTGAAATTCGTTATTCACGTGACCTTGGGAATATCACTCAAACTTTCTGAGTCTCAGTTTCTTGACCTGTAACCTGGAGACTCAATCATTTTCACCATTGGAAGGCTGGGAAGATTAGATATGTACAAGTTTTCATAAACTAAAATGTGTACTAGCCATATAAGGAATTTTAATACTTATTACATAATGACATTAATTTATATCTTATAAGATATTCTGATAAAATTTGGGAGAGCAACCCACCAGATTTATTTCTTTCAAAGGTGTCCTGGATGCCTATGGTGGTAAATAAGTAATGATGATAATAAATAAATCCAGGAATTAAGTATTTATGTATAATACTTTACAACTTCATTTGGTGAAGCATTTTTCATGCCAACTGTATCCCCAAACAGATTACATTCAATGAAGACTTACAGTGATAAGCAATAAATACTAGCAGTGAGAGACAGACATTGAGATAAACAGGCAGCAAAAAGTGCTTTTCAGCTAAATTCTGAAAAGAAATGAAGAATTTAGGGTTGCAGAGACCCAGGAGAGATGTCACAACAGGCAGACACTTTTGGAGATAAAGTTCTCACACTCAATTTTCTTAGTGAAAGGCCTGAGGCACGAAGTACCAAAGTGTTGAACTTCTGCCTGGGTCATCTCACAGGCGGCGGGTCTTTACTGTGGGAAGAAAGAAACAATATTAAGTCTGAGAGAGGTGAATTTCAACTTCATGGGGATTATGAAGCAGGAAAATCTTTTGTAAATGGCTTTGCTTTGATCTATATGGACCAGAAGAGAACTACGTATTGGTATTTTATTGTCCATAAGCTACCCAAAAAGTGTACCTGCAGTGTTCATCACTAAAAATCAGCTGGAAATTTGATTTGCAGTCTAGAGTAAGGATTTTCAAGTTAGTTCAGGATACACTGATTTCTGATTCTTCCATGGGTTTGCCTTTGGCTCAGTCAGTTTTGACGCAATAGATGGGAGTGATTTCCTTAAATGTTAATTTGACTTTTTAGTAGCCATGTGCATAACAGAAGCACTCTGAGTAACACTATGTGTTGTGTGTGTGTTTGTATTAGTCAGTTCTCATGCTGCTAATAGAGACATATCCGAGACTAGGCAATTTATAAAGGAAAGAGGTTTAATTGACTCACAGTTCCACATGGCTGGGGAGGCCTCACAATCATGACAGAAGGCAAATGAGGAGCAATGCCACGTCTTACATGGTGGCAAGCAATAGAGCTTGTGCAGGGAATTTTCCTTTATAAAGCCATCAGATCTTGTGAGACTTATTCACTGTCATGAAAGCAGCATGAGGGTAACCACCCCCATGATTCAATTACCTCCCACAAGGTCCCTCCCATGGCACAAGGGGATTATGGGAACTACAATTCAAGATGAGATTTGCGTGGGGACACAGCCAATCCATATCAGTGTTTGAAAGACAAAGTGGTGGCATACACAGCAGCCTCTCGAGGAGGGTACTAAAATGAGTTTCTATTTCTATATCACACTGACTGAGATTGGGGAAGATAAGAGTAGGGTAAGGTGAGCAAGCTCAAAGACTGAGGAAATGTTGCTTGGTATGAGAAATTTTACTCAGATAACCTCAGGAGTGTATAAAGAAGAGTTATTGTATTCTACTCACAAAGTGTTTTTGTTGATGATGGCCTGATTGGAAGATGAATTACCACCCGCCAATGAAAGGCAACCTTACAAAACCATTTGAAACCCAACTATCTCATGTTATATTGGGTTGTGGATAGTACAGTTCAACTCCAACAGGATACCTTTGGCTATGTGGGTGCATGTTGACAGCTTTAAGGAGGGCCACTAAAGTGTCTTTCATAGTGCTAAAAGCACCTCAAAATGAGTAATTTATTTTGGAAAAGCATATTAGGAGAGAAAAAATGTTTCATCTAGAAGCACTGATATGAGGAAGAGACTAAATAAATGAATGAAGAAGTTAGTGCAGAGTAGAGACAAGCATGAATTGGTTTCACAGCTGCTTCTGATATGGCCAATAAAAAAGATAAAGAAGAAAAAGAATCAAGCAGCCAGGGAAAGGTCAGCTCCTTAAGGGCAGGCCTCCTGCCTAGCAGTACACAGTTATCCCCAGTGCCTAGAATATGGTAGGCACATGGTAATCTCACATTTTGCAGTAAAAATAAATACATATGTACAGGAGCTAAAAGTATATATTAAGAAGGAAGTTGCTTGACATTAGATAGAGTCTTGATTATTTTAGCTCCATGATAGGGGTTGTCTTTGACAAAATTTCCTCTTTTTTACAGTTGTCATCTAGGTAGCTATCTCTATTGGTGGTGTTCTTTAATAGGTGTGGGAGAGAAGCCTCAAGGGACAGAGTGATCTGAAGTTGTTACATTAAATAGGTTTCCCAGGCAAAGCAAGAAATGGCCTGGAGTCTGCTCCTGGTTACAACTTTAATCATTACATACAAGCTGGCTGTGAAAATCCATCTGAATGATGAACAAAATACTTTAATCTGGACTTCATCATGTTACTTTTGCTACTTTGGAGTTCTGAATTCATCATAAGAATGTGAAAGATTTACCTGCAATGGCAGTTCCCTCGAATTCCAGTAAATCCATGAAAGAATGTGTTGCTTCATGGAATGGATGAGAGAGGGAAAACATTCTCTCAGGGAATCAGAAATAGGAGAGATTTGGGTGGCTGGGGGTGGAAGGGCAGTTCAGGTTCCAGAAAACAGAGCTATTGGAATTTGGATGAGGGTTTTAAAACATGATAAGGCCTATCAGGAGTCATAGGTTGATAGCAATCAATGAGTAAAATGACTCCTTGTGTTTGGAAAAGAAAATCAAGCAGACTTGTGGAAGTCTGTGGTCTTGGATGCAAAAGGAAGCTAAAGCTACAATAGTCATTAAGTCAATGGAAGTGAGAAGGAACTTTTAGAAAATTTGATTAAGACAGATAAGGGACTGGATTCCAGGAATTAGGTTAAGAGAATGACAGTACCCCTCAGAATATAAGGTTTGTCTAATTATTCTGATATAAGGATTATTAGTTATAAAGACTATTCTCATCATGTAGGTGGAGGACCTGGTGCCCCAATACTACAGGCACAACAGCGTGGAGATGGTTCCTCTCTGCAGAGCCCTGCATTCAGCCGCATGCCTAGGACAGTGGAAAGTGCAGGGATGTTCTTTTGCCTGTTTACCTGTGACAAGATCATCAAGTTTCTCAGCTCAGAGGGGACACTTAGAGTGGGGGAATGGGTAAGACTTTTCTGCTATAAGTGAGGAAAAGGAAGAAATGAGGAAAATGACAGAACAATCTATTCCAGGGTCAACTCTAGTATATATTATAGGAGAATTGTATTTCTTGCAAATAAAAGCAGAGACCTTCTGATGTTTGTCTTTTACTTTAAGATAAGAGAAACTCAATTGACTCTTCCTACTCTAGATCTTAAATACACACAAGGAAGGTGTCCTGAGCGAGGCACTCATGAGAAGTTAGCTAAAGTCATTTTCAGATTTAATGATTGCAGGTGTCATAATGAGTGTGACATCTCTCTAGTTCTTTAAATAGCACTGCGGATGTTCTGTGGTTAGACTGGCTGCCCCAAATTACCCAGAAGTGAAACTGCTTTTTTGGTGATGCCTATGTCTGATCCATAACCTCCATCTTTTCTGTATCTTTTTTTTTCTCTTAAGATAACACAGCACATTTGAGGATGCTTAAAGTATTTGAGTGGTGCTACTGGCTATAATTAAGTTCTTTCAGCCTTTCCATTACAAATTCTTCTTTCCGAGGTTTAATATCTCAGAGACTTCTAATCCCACTGGGCCAAACTTAGTATAGAAGCTGTCAGCAGAAATGCAAATTTTTTTGCCCACCCCTAAATATTTCTAATCAAACAATTTTTTTCCCCTCATTACAGCAAAGGTATAAGGAAATAGGTTTCAGGCACTTTTGAAAAGCAAGAAAAAAAGTAATCTAAGCACAAAATCTGAGAAAAATGCATAAGAATGCAAAACCTGTCTAGTTTCGGGGTAGGTGGGCAAATATTGAAGACATACAGCATCAGAGAATTTTTGCCTTGTGTTTTTTAGCTAAATTCAAGATGTAACCATGAAATAAACTGACAGCATATTGTTTGTTGGTTTGAAATTTTGATTTTTTGTTTTAAGGAGAAGTCCGTGTTACTTCTGTGAAAATTTAAGATGAGCAAATAATTCCAATATACCCACATAACTTGGGCTATGGTTGAAATTTTTTTTTTATCTTTTCCTTTGTGTCTTGAAGATAATTGAATGAAAATCATTTGTAGCATTATTGGTTTATTTAAAAAGGTTTAAAAATTAAACATTTTATTTTTATTTTTTGTTGTGGTAAATAATGCATAACATGAAATTTAGCACCTTAGTCATTTCTAAGTGTACAGTTTAGTACTGTTAACTATATTCATGTTGTTGTATAGCCAATCTCCAGAACTTTTCATCTTGCAAAACTGGCACTCTGTACTTATTCTGTTTCGATGAAGTTGAGTACACATAGAAACCTCATATAAGTGAAGTCGAGCAGTATTTGTCTTTTCATGATGGGCTAATTTCAATTGGCAGGATGTCCTCAAGGTTCATTTGTGTTGTAGCATGTGTCAGAACTTCCTTCCTTTTCAAGGCTGAATATTATTAACATTTGACTTTTTGGATGCTTATTCCATATTGCCTTTTTTTATTATTAATCAAAAGATTCTATTTCTTAAGTAGAAGTTCTTGTTATGTCCTCAAATTATTTCATAATTATTAAAATCCTTCTTTTGGGGTTTTAACTTATTAGTTTAAGGGTACAGGTCTTTGAACTTGGCTTTACTGCTTAAGAGAATGAACATCTTTTTGCAGCCAGTTTTCTAGATAGTGAAAGATGGACCTTCTAAGGTCCTTGGCAGTGGTTGTTTGCCCCTAGGTCAGAGCAGTCCTAATCGTGTCTTGTCCTTGTCCCTGTTAGCACTGCTATTGCACAGCCATTCCCCATGCTGTCTCTTTGGGGGAATTTTGCTCTCCCATATCACATTTCTGACTATTCTAATCTCTTCGACACTTCTAAATGTGGGTGTCATGTTCTCATCTACCCCTAAAGCCATTTCTATTGCGTTCTGTAACCTTTCTTCTCAGTTCATCTTCTTTCTTCTGCCTCCTAGAGCCTCTCTAATATTTCTTGTTTTTTCGAGAAAAGATTAATACTTTCAAAATAGGTGAGCCTTTTTATTCTCTTTCTCATTGAACTCCTACCATCTGGTACAATTCCATCCAACTCTCCCCCCAATTTATGGAATACTTCTGGCTATCAGACTGATATGCAAAGACAATCGGACACTCCTTGCATTCTTGAGGGGATCAGAAACTAGTGGGCAGATGAATATGCAGACAATCCCAAGGCACTGTAATAGAAAAAGGGGAGAGAAGAGCCTTGTGATTTCTGTGAGGAGCACAGGTGAGGAAGAACTGCCCTATGTAGGAAAATGAGGTCAGATCTTATCAATAAGACAACATTTAAAAAATCAGTCTTAAAGAATGACTACCAGTTAGCTGGAAAAAAATACTATGTTTTTGGCCTAGTCTCTCTCCAATTATTTTATTTAGTAAAAATATTCTCTGAAATGCACAGACCCCAAATTCCATCCCACCACAAAGACACACTGGGTACAATCCGTAACTTCTCTCAGGTGCATTTGTTATTTGCCATTACCTTGATGCCACTATATTTTCTATAAGGACATTGTATTTTGAGGTCTTCTGAGTCTAAAATGTTAAAGAATCCTGAGGGATCTGAAAAGCTGAATTCTGATGAGCTAACATGTTAGAAATTGTTATTAGTCATTTACATCTAGATACAAATAAACCAAATGAAAGCAAGCTTTGATGGGGCAGGAAAGACAGCAAGAGGGTATGAGGAGCTTGGGAAAGGGATGGTTAGAGATTCACTGGTGGAAAAGTAGTGGTAAAGTGGAAGAATAGGAAGCTTGAACAAGTGATCTGATTCTCTCTAGAAAGAAGGATACACCCTGAGTATTTTATTTTAACAGTGAAAGTTTGAGGGCTTTCCATGGTGGTCTCTAATGAGTGGCTACTCTCTTTCCCACGTGGGTTCCAAGCAAGTTGAGAAATAGAGCCAAGAGTAAATATGGAATAAAAAATGTCCCTATTGCCACTAATAGAATTCAGATTGGATGACAGAGCTTAGAGTCTATTACTCTAGTGAGCTTGTTGATTTTGAACCTAGAACTGGACAGACTTGCTCCTCACTCCCACATTTTGGTGTCACTTGACTGGCATAGGCCAGATAAGTTCCCAAATTCTTCTCCAAATTTAGCAAGCACACATGCCACTCCTCTTCCCCCAGACTGCAGTGAGGAAGGGGGCAGGGAGAGGCTGGAGTGACACTAACATGTTTGTTTCATAGGAAGAAAACATAAGAAATAAAGAAGAGCAGAGCATTCCCTTCCAACAAGTTCCTCCACTTAATTTCTTCTTTTTCTAAAATGGAATTCAGTATCAGCATAGATGGCATTGCCTTTCAGTTCTTTTATCTTTAACTTTGTTTTGCCCTGTGTTTTCGGCTTTGAACTTCCTCATAAGTGTGACAAGCCTAACTCTATCCCTCTTTGATTGCAGAAGTCTCATCTTTAGTTGTTGTTGTTGTTTTTCTTATGGTGGGACCTATTTCTTGAAGCACTATACAGAAGAGGATAGGAACAAGAAGTGCTAGAGTTGTTGGTGCTATTGCCAACTTCTGCTTTGGCACCATTGAGCTCTCTGCTGTTCAGAGGTTGATTCTGTCAGGTATAATGCAGATATGCTCACATCTTAGCACAGTGAATGCGAAAGCAATGGCTTGTTTACTTGGTTTCTGCATTGCAGTGTGGCTGGAGTGTGTTGAATTATTATTGCATTTGTTTTAGGGAGTCACCTCCCTTGTTGTTCACTTCCCTCTACATAACATTTCCTCTGCGAGGTTTACTGGCACTGCAGGAACTGAAAAAATGAAGTAAATGGCTCTCTAGAGAAATCTTTCTAGGAGGTGTGAACCACCTGGAGTCTGTAAATGCTTGAAATTTGGTTCTCAACAGGAAAGAAAATCAATGTAAGATAGAAATATAATGAAAAAAACACTTTTTTCCAGTAGGTAAATTTGGATTGGTGACAATTAGGTGTTCTGATCATCAGATTTCATAATCTGGATTGATTTGTAGAGAAATTTAAAAACCATCAGTTGTTACAATGCTATGAATACGTAAGAATACCAGGAGAGGGTATTCTAATCTACATGAAAGCCAATGCCATCGATGCTAATTTGTTTTCTGTTTTGCTCATGACACAACAAAGCGGCTGAATATAGTTTTTTGCTGTTGTTGTCACTCATCTTTCAAAGGAAAGAATACTGATAGTTTCAACATCATACTTTTAAAAAGTAACTTCTGCATAGATGGTACATATTGATTAAGCACACAGAGCAGTGCCTGGCAGACAGTGAGCACTGCATGAGGACTTTGTTAAATAAGTAAAATGTTAGAGTAAATTAAACCACCTTTGCCAAAATTCACAAATGACTTAGCATTGATCATTTACAAACCAGGTGATCTTCCCTGTGTTTCATATTTTAAAGCAGCAGGGTCTCTTCTGCTACTCTCCAATAATATCAATTAATACCCTCACAAATAGCCTTCTAAAGTTATCCAAACTTAGAAACCAATGTAAATGTAAGGAAATTATAGAGAAGACTAATGAGAATTTATATATTGATTAACAAAGGATTATGGTAAGTTAACTAAAGGCAAAGTGATTTAATTAATTTGTTTTTATTTATTATTATTTTTTTGAAGACAGGGTCTGTCTCTGTTGCCAA
The DNA here is from genome assembly GCF_000001405.40 of Homo sapiens. Taxonomy (NCBI): domain Eukaryota; kingdom Metazoa; phylum Chordata; class Mammalia; order Primates; family Hominidae; genus Homo; species Homo sapiens. The sequence goes on along the minus strand of NC_000013.11, from coordinate 79,190,182 downwards.
GGCTGGAGTGCAGTGGCAATATCTCAGCTCACTGCAACCTCCACCTCCTGGGTTCAAGCCATCCTCCCACCTCAGCCTCCTAAGTAGCTAGGACCACAGATGCACACCATCATACCCAGCTATTTTTAAAAAATCTTTTGTAGAGGTGGGGTTTCACCATGTTGTCCAGGCTAGTCTTCAACTTCTAAGCTCAAGAGATCTGCCCACCTCGGCCTCCCAAAGTGCTGGGATTACAGGCATGAGTCACTGTGTCTGGCTGTAATTTAATTTATAAACAAAAAATGTCACTGTTAATTCTAGAAAGAGTCAGTTATAACATTACTTACATTTGTCAAATTCAAGAATGGAAGAGAACAATGTATGTTGCTGTCCTGTGATAGATTTCTCTGTGGAAATCAGTCCCACCACTTTGGGTCCATGGGCTATATGAAACAAATGAACCAAAGGCCTTAGAACCTTGAGGTTTGGCTAATTTGCCCATATTTATACAATGTATAGAGGTTGTTTCTACTCTGTGTAAGGTTCTATACTAGTAATCTTATAAACAAAGACCAATATAAGGAGAGAGGAGATGGTTTGTAGTCTACTGTGTTTTGTGAAAGTTTGGGATGTAGTTCATTTGGACAATGCTTAGAATTTCATTTTGAAACATTTTCAGTTATAGCATGTTTAATTGGTTCTTTAAAATCTCTTCTTAAAGGATCCTGAAACTTAAAGAGGGGGAATGCTTATATTTTGTATAAACAAAAGTGGTGGCTCTATGATAATAGGAATCATTTGAAGATGTGTTGTTTAGAAGGTGATAAATAAAAAAGTTGTGATGAGAGAAAACATGGAAGAAGGAAAAAGCATAAAAGGTAAGTTTGGCAGTGTCCTGCCTACCAAGGAGAAATTCGACTTGGTAAGAGCATATTTTGACTTTGGGAGGCCAAGGTGGATGGGTTGCTTGACCCTAGGAGGTCGAGACCAGCCTGGGCAACATGGCGAAAACAAAAAACAAACAAACAAACAAAAACAAACAATTAACAAAACCAAAAATTAGCTGGGCATGGTGGCATATGCCTGTAGTCCCAGCTACTTGGAAGGCTGAAGTTGGAGGATCGTCTGAGCCCAGGAGGCGTAGATTGCAGTGAGCTGAGATTGTAACCAGCCGGGGCAACAGAGCAAGATATTGTCTCACCCTCCTCTGCCCCACTAAAAACATTTTTGAGGCTCAAATGGAGTTTGGGAATACCTGGGGTGTAGATTGTAAATACTTAGAGCTCTTAATCAAAATCGTCTGTAAAGTCCTTTTTTTGTGTGCTTGACCAAAACAGTCTTTGACTTTGGGACCCAAGATAGGGCATATCCTAGTGCTAGGCAAATTTGAAGTTGGTTTTCAGACCCTTAAGCTTATAGAATTTAGATTACCCAAATTTATCCCTTCCCCCTCCATGACATGTAAAGTTCCTGGCAGCCCTCTGCTTCACACTAATGTTCATCTCAAAGAAAGGATGGAAAAGCAGCTACAACGTTTTGAGTGTCTTCTCTGTGCCTTGCACTTCCACATACTAATTTTTGCATCAGCCCTTTCAGGAGTATTTTATTATTTCCAGTTTGTCTGTGAAGAAACAGAAAGTCAGTGAAATGAAATGCATTACTCATCATCATACAGCTAGTGACAGTGATGCTAGCAGTCAACACATGTCCTTGACTCCAGACACCTGCTCTCTCTGCTGTTCTAAGTACTCCCCATGAAATTCACTTACTTTATATTTTGCCTGGTGCTCTGTCATGCTGCTGAGAGTTATGAGTCCTGACTTCTGTTCCATGGTGCATCTCTTTCTGCTGGTTTTTCTGATAATCAAAATCATGCTATGGTATTTAATGGCTATCACTGTCTTTTAGCAAAGGCATAGGTCTTAACCCTGAAGAGAACTAATGGCAGAAATGTAAGGCTTGTCGTCACTCTTTACATTGCCTGTACAATGCCTGTGGGTGGGAGAACTTAGGATGTATTTTCTTTTAAGAGTCTGAGGATAGAGCACTGCAGAACACTGTGTGTATAGCGCACTCTCATAATTGTATTGTGTGGATGAATGAATGAGTTGATGGGCAGCATTCAACCTCAACAGAAAGGCAGTTTAAGTGGATTTCCACTTGTGACAGCCTCCTTTTTACTCTTCATGAATAGCAATGTTATCTGTACAAATATAGGTTTTGAGCCAAATAGAACATGGAATCTAAGAAATCATATATAGTGAGTGTGGTTGGAGCTTTTATAAACTCTGAGCGATTTACAGAGTCATGTTTTCTGACTGCAGATAACTTCTTTTGTCCCTTGGAGTGTATTTTGGTATTTGAATTAAGATAGTAGTGGAAGGCGGTTGCTGAATTCAAGCTGTGTTAAACTGCCTGGCTACCCTGCTTTATTATTTGTGATGAGGGGTAAGGCTGGGTGATAGCAAAATAAAATATTGATGAAAATGTACTGAAAATGTGTTAAAGCAACATATTTTGAAATGTATGTAGATCTCTTTGAAGTGAAATAATGGTTTTAAGTGAATTAATAAAGATGTTAGCTCATCTCTTTAGTGATAAAATTGTGGTGACATGTAAATTCTTAACCTCACCCAAGAGCGTAGATTCACTACAGGGTTTATTTATTAATTTTCCAAATTTCAGAATAATTTAATAGTAACAACGTAGGAAATACATGCTACAAGGACTGAATTTTTTTCTTGTTAATCTCTTTAATATTGGCATGACCTAATAAAGATGCATGTGGCTATTACGAGATTTACACAATGCTAAATATTTTTAGATTGATTTCAACAAGGAAGACTGAAGACTATTCCTTCAGAAGTCTCAGGAAAACTGTTTTAGCATATTTTGATAAAAACTTATATGCACATAATAAACAACCTCAAGTGTAATATTATTTGAACAGTTAATCTGGTTGCCTTTTAACCTTCATAAAATGTTAGACCTAGATTTCAAATGTAATAAAGGAAGTGAAGTGTGTGTTTGTGTGAGGTAGTTTTAATATAACGCAGATCTTAGTTTTTCCTCAGAATAACCAACTCCATTTATTTTCTTGGAAGACAAAATGGAGAAAAATATGATAGAAACAAATGGATATGTATGAATATCTTTAAAAGAACATTTATACATGAGGCCACCAATCTGTCCATTTGGCAAGGATCCATTTTAGAAGAAACTGTACTTTGATAATAGCTTATACCCATTATTTTATGTTGATGGAACATAGACAGAGACATGGAATAAGAAGGAAAGCTAGATGGAGCTGGCTTTCCATAAGTCACAAGCTTTTTCTTTAATAGAAAAGCAAACTCCAATGTTTCAGATTCTGTTCTAAAGAGAAAAATAGAACACTGAAGTGTTCTTGCTGGTGGACTAGTAATGACAGTAAAAGATGAGTCCCATTAAAAACAAAACCAGAATAAATTGTCACTTAATTGAACACAACAATGCAAAGATTGCCAAGGGGCTTGCTTTCCCACAAGAAGTATTTTGTTAAAAGCATCCAAGATCACAATTGAACCCTAAATTTACATCAACTCTAAATCTTTATCATGTAATTGCCTTACTACTAGGTAACTAGATTAAGATGGTGACATATTTTAAATGGAATATCTAGGGATATATACAGCATACTCAATTTCCTTTATTAAAGGAATTTATTTCTGGCTGCTTTCTATTTCATTATAGCAGCTATAAATTCCTTCTTATAACACATTAATGAAAATTTTTTTTGAGGTTGTTAGACCCCAGACTACCATATTTAGATTTAGAGAGCAAAGGCCTAACATTATTTTGCTAAAGACCAAAATAGCTGGTAAAACTCTTTGCCTTCTCCTCTTTTCCCCTCAGATTTCAATTATGTTGAGTCTCAGGTTCTAAGGATTTCTGTAGGTCTAATAACTTAGCACAAATGGCAGCATTTCCATTATTTTCTGCTGAGATCTCACGGCACTGGACATCATCCTGTGCTTCTAGAAGAGGGTCTCAAACACTCTAGAACTTTCTAGGGGAAACCCCCAAAGGCATCCTCTTTTTGAGAGAAGAAAAACAATGTATTACCCTGGACATTTATTCACATAATTTTAACCCATTTTTCAGGGACAGCAGCAAAGAAATACAGAACCACTGGACTCTTAATCTAGGTGCCCAGTTTATCATAATGATTTTTTCACAAATAGCCTTCTTGTGTTGGGTTTTGGATACTCTCTCTCAGCTGTTATCAAAGCATGGTCTGAATTGCTGGGGGTTCACTGAGATCTTCTCTGAAGTCCCGTAGTCAAAATTATTGACATAACCATAGTAAGACATTATTTGTCTTTTGCACTGTGTTGATGTTTGCACTGACTGTGCAAAAGCCATGCTGGGACAAAGTGGTGGTGTTGCAACACCAAGAAAGGCAGTGGTGCCTGCTCTGGCGGTGGTCATTGTGTTTTTCACTGTCAGTCACTCACAGGATGTCTTTGATGAAGCAGTAGAAATTACAAATATTACTAAGTATCCGTTCTAAGTATACCTCTTTAGTATTCTACTGTTGAAGTGGGAAGTATTCAAAAAACACTGCTGGCATAACAAAGTACCATGGACATTTCAGGGAAAAGAACTGGTGGGATGGTTTGCCTTGTGAGCTGAATTAGCTCCCTTTCCATGAATTTCCATTTGTACTTGAAAGGATAACTAACAGATACACCAGAGTTACTCAGACTTGGATATTTAGCAGATATTTCTTAAAAGTAAACAAAATGAACATGTCCCTTTAAGGAAAACAACTGACAATTTTTGTTTGCAATGATAAAATTCAGGCTTTCAAGCAAAACTTAGAATTTTGGAAAACTTGTATATGCCACCATAAACTAGACAGCTCCTTAACACTTAAAGACTTTTCAGATAAAATTGGTAGCGACATTAGCAAATGTAATTTTTTGATACATTACATATTTGTGTAATGGAACACATGCGTTATAATGCATTAGTTACACAAACATGCAGGAGTAAAAGATCCATTTGAAATGTAAGACCAATCCATATATTTCACTGTAACAGAGTAGTGATCAAAGTTGTAAAGTTCATTGGTATGATTTCAGTTTCCACATTACAACTAGCTTTTAAGAAACTACCTCTGCTGGGTGTGGTGGCTCGCCTATAATCCCAGCACTTTGGGAGGCTGAGGTGGTCGGATCATGAGGTCAAGAGATCGGGACCATCCTGGCCCTAACATGGTGAAACCCTGTCTCTACTAAAAATCCAAAAATTAGCTGGGCATGGTGGTATGTGCCTGTAGTCCCAGCTACTTGGGAGGCTGAGGCAGGAGAATCACTTGAACCCGAGAGGCGGAGGTTGCAGTGAGCCGAGATCGTGCCACTGCACTCCAGCCTGGCGACAGAGTGAGACTCAGTCTCAAAATAAATAAACAAACAAATAAATAAATAAATAAAAATAAATAAATAAAAATAAAAGAAACTACCTCTTGTTGAGTTTTGGGGCATATTGAAGAAGAGTGTTCTTAATTAACTGAAAGGCTTTTATTTTATTTTTTGAGACAAGGTCTCATTCTGTTGCCCAGGCTGGAGTGCAGTGACACAATATCTGTTCACTGCATCTTGACCTCCCAGGCTCAGGTGACCCTCCCACCTCAGCCTCCCAAGTAGCTGGGACTACAGGAACGCACCACCATGCCAGGCTAATTTTTAAATTCTTTGTAGAGACGGGGGTCTCCCTATGTTGCCTAGGCTGATCTTGAATTCCTGGGCTTAAGTGATCCTCCCACCTTGGCCTCCCAAAGTGGTGGGATTACAGGCACGAGCCACTGTGCTCTGCCTGAAAGTCTATGAAAATGCATTTTCCTTTTTCAGCTACATGTCTGTGTGAGGACATATTTTCTTCACATACTTCAACTAAAAATAATTATTGAAATAGATTAAATGCAGAAGTAAAGTATCCAGGAGTCTTCCACCAAGTCAGACAAAAAGAGATAGACAAAAAAAATGTAAAAACAATTTCAATATTATCATTAATTTTCTTGTTTTTGAAAATATAGTTTTTTTCCAGTAGATAATAGATTTTTATTGTTATTTTAAAATAAGTTAATAAATATTTAAATATGTTCTTAATTTCTTTTTTAGACAGAGTCTCGCTCTGTCACCCAGGTTGGAGTGCATTGGTACAATCTTGGCTCACTGCAACCTCCGCCTTCCGGGTCCAAGCGATTCTCCTTTCTCAGCTTCCCAAGTAGCTGGGACTACAGGTGCCCATCACCATGCCTGGCTAATTTTTGTATTTTTAGTAGAGATGGGGTTTCGCCATGTTGGCCAGCCTAGTCTCGAACTCCTGACCTCAAGTGATCCACCTACCTCGGCCTCTCAAAGCGCTGGAATTACAGGTGTGAGCTACTGTGCTCGGCCTTAATTTTTTTAAAGGTAAATATAATCTATCTAAATATTGCTTGGAGTCCTCAATAGTTTCTAAGAGTGGAGAGGGATCTTGAGACCAAAAAGTTGGATTGCTGCTGTTCTATCTTCCAAATAGAGAGATGCGAATCTCAAGTCTAGATCACTAATGTGTGAGAACACTGAGATGTGCTGTGATCTCCCCTTTGAGGAAGAACATATTGCCCTAGTTGCTGGGAGTGTTGCTCACTGGCAGCTTTCAGCTATTAGTCCCTTCAAGGATTGTCTCAGCTGCAGAGAGCCACCTCACCAAAGGTCGCATTTTTTCCCAGAGTGACCTGCATCTAGTGGTTGATGGATGCAGGTGTATAAAGACATGGCCATTTTTGTGTAACTCAGGGCAACTCCTAGAGTTCATTCCAACTCCTGAGCTCCTGGTGGGGTCAGCTGAGCTGTCAATTGGCCTGCATCAGTGCTTGACTTCTCCCTTTGCCCTTTCCTATCTCCTTCCCCTCCCTCCTCATGTGTTAATTTCAAGGTCTCTGCTTGGTAAAAATCCTGCACAACAAAGCCCTTAGGGTCTACTTCTCAGGGAACTCAATCTGCAACAGCATGAGGGCACCATAATAGGTTAAAAGTCAATTCTCTTTGTAGTTTTGAGTAAGGTGCTACACTTTTGGCTGTATCTCCATACAGGGTCCTAAATTCCTTCTTGACAAGTCACGCAAATCCATTGGCCTGTAAAAAGCTTTATATGGCCTGGAACACTGTAAGAGTTTGGAGTGAAATAACACTGTAAGAGTTTGGAGTGAAATACTGAAATATATTGATCGGTCTTACGTTTAAAATGGATCTTTTACTCCTGCATGTTTGTGTAACTAATGCATTATAACTCATGTGTTCCATTACACATATATGTAATGTATCAAAAGTTACATTTGTTAATGTTGCTACCAATTTTATCTGAAAAGTCTTTAAGTGTTAAGGAGCTATCTAGTTAAGGAGCTCTCCTAATGCATATCCATGTGGCCTGGGACAAGCTAGTTCTGGATCCAGCAGGGTCAGTTCAGGAATGTGCACAAAAAAAGCAGGCTTCAGCTTCTGGAGAACATAGGTGAAAAAAAATGGATGCTCCTTTTTGTATGCTCTTGGATTAAAGCATCTTCCAAATTTTAGGTGTTGATGAGAAGACAAGAATTGAATAGAGAAGGGGGTCAAGAGGACAGACCAATCTCTTCATTTAACTCATCTCCACATTAAATATGCACCAACAGCCTAAGCCAAGCCAATTTAGCTGTGACCTGGACCAATAGTTAATACCATCTAAAGTGAATGGCTGTTCCCTAATCTGTCTTTCTATCAGGCATTCCTATCTGATGTAGAAAACAGAACTTAGGAGTCAGCCTCAGTTGGATTGGAGAGCATTGCATACTTTAACATTTTAAAGAATGAGGAAGCTTAGGTGAACTCTCTGTAGCTCCATTGACGTGGCGGTAACAAGAGAACATTATTTCCACTTTGGTAAGGTTAGCTTTCTTGCTCTGTGTAAGAAAACTGTTTAATAGATTCTAGATAAACAGAGGACACATGATTTGAAAATGAAACCAAGTTTTAAACACTCTGCCATTTGAAAATGACCCATCTGCATGCTGGTGAGCTAAATATTTATTCATTCATCCCATGGACACTTACTATGTTCCAGTAAATATTCTAGGTTCGGGGGTATATATTGGTGAATAAGACAAAGTCGCTGACCTTAAAGAGTCTCTTATGACAGAATAATATTGTCTGGGTCTTAGTTCATTTGCCTGTGTAGGTAAACCCACCCATGGTGGAACAGGAAAGAATTAAAGAACTTGAAAATGTTGAAAAGCTTTTCTATTGAGATGGCAAAGCACTGAATGTAAGTCACATAGTTTGCATACTGAAGGCACTGTTCCACATGCTGGGGACTCAATAGTAGAAGCTATTTTTTCCCTGCCCTATGTTTTATGAGAGAAAGTGAAAAATAGGATAGGAAAAAAATAGATACCTCTCTAAAAATTAATAGATCAAGAAAACAAAGAATAAACAAGAACCTAGAATATCTGAATAACAATCAACATGATTGCTCTATTACATATGCAATTCTTGAAGGTGTACGCATTCTTTTCACAACACAGAGAACTTTTCAAAAATTAATCATATAGTTGATTTAAAAAATCCACAAAATAATTATCCAAAGCTGAAATGATACTGGTCAAAATATTTGCCCATAATGCAAATCATATTAGAAATAAACAACAAAAAGATAGTTTTTTTAAAAAAAACCCAAACATTTTTAAAGAGGGAACTAAAGCTATAATTATAGGCCATTTAGAAACAAAACCAGCAAATAGATTTGTATTTATTTCAAACCCATGGGATACAGCCAAAAGTGTACTTAGGAAATTTTATAGACATAAATGCATTGATTAGGAGATAAAATTTGAAAATGAATAAGCAAAGTATTCATCTCAAGAAGCTGAAAAAAGGAAAACAAAGTAAACAGAGTAGAAAAAAGGAAAACCATATATTTGTCATATAAAATGAAGCCAAACATAATAGAAATGGTAAATAATACTAGTCTAAAATTTGTTCTTTGAAATAATCAGTAAAGTATTTAAAAACCTTTGTCAAGTTATATCAAGAAATAAAAGGTGGTAAGTGTGGTGGCTTGCACCTGTAATCCCAGCTACTCTGGAGGCTAAGGTGGGAGGATGGCTTGAGATCAGGAGTTTGAGGCCAGCTTGGGTGACATAGTGAGACCCTGTCTCTAGAAAAGTTTAAGAAACAAAGGGAGAGAAGGCATAAATAATATCAGAAATGAGAAAATATAACATAAACTCAGATATAAAAGATATTTTAAAAATTTGAGATACTTTAATTATAATATATCAATAAATATAAAAATATTATACAATGGATGATTTCATGGGCTACTATATATAGTAAGAATGACTTGAGAAGGAATAATAAATGTAAATAAGCTAATGAAGACAGAAGAAAATGAAAATGTAAGGAAAAACAAATACTCATTTAAAAAGCACCAGAAAAGGAGAGTTTAGTGTATGAGTTCTATCAGTCCTTCAAGAAAAAAATAATTTATTTTCAGAGAATGTTAAAGATGAAGTGTTTTTACCTTATTTTATAAGGATAGAATAATCTTAGTGCCTAAATTAGATAAGCATAGCTTCTAAAAGAAAGCTACACAACAATTTAACTTATGAACACAGAAATAAAAATCGTAAATTGAAGACTGCCAAGATTGTTGGTGAGAATCTAAATTGGCGTAAGCCATTATGGAAAACAGCATGGAGTTTCCCCAAAAAATTAAAAATAGAATTCCCACATGATCCAGCAATCCCACTATTTGGTGTATCTCCAAAGGAAGTAAAATCGTTACATCAAAGAGCTATCTGTAATTCCATTTGTTAGATATGAGTTCTAAATTTCTTTTCAAAGAATTAATATATCCGTATGTTCAATTCTTTGCCTTCTACTTGTAAACTTAACTTCTTTGTAAAGCAACATTTTTTTTCTATTTTAGATTAGTTTCTTTTTTATATACATATATTTTTTATTATACTTTAAGTTCTAGGGTACATGTGCACAACGTGCAGGTTTGTTACATATGTATACATGTGCCATGTTGGTGTGCTGCACCCATTAACTCGTCATTTACATTAGGTATATCTCCTAATGCTATCCCTCCCCCCTCCCCCCACCCCACAACAGGCCCCGGTGTGTGATGTTCCCCTTCCTGTGTTCAAGTGTTCTCATTGTTCAATTCCCACCTATGAGTGAGAACATGCGGTGTTTGGTTTTTTGTCCTTGCGATAGTTTGCTGAGAATGATGGTTTCCAGCAACCTTTTTCAATTACCTACTCCACCCTGACTCATTCTAATCACCTTCTCTACCCTACATTCCAATCGCCTGCTCCATCCTAACTCATTCCAATTACCTGCTATCTGCTCTGCCCTGACTCCTGCCAAAGCACTCACCCCATCATTCTCTTTAAATTAGCCAATCAGAATTAGTTTAGCCTGTGTGGTCTAACCCTAGCCAATAGGGGAATGACACAGCAGCAGGGGCCACGTGCGTCAGGGATAAGAACCCCTTCCCTGCCCTTGTCCAAGTGTGCGCTCACCATTGTTCCATCTCTAAGGGCACACCCTTCTATATAGAAGTAACTTGCCTTGCTGAGAATTAAAAAGAAAATTTTATATTCGAGTGCTATTACTTTTGCGGCACCGAAACTTTATATATAACACATTTTTATTGCTGCATTATTCACAATAGCCAAGATATGAAATCAATTTAACTGTCCATCAACAGATGAATAAATGAAAAAAATGTAGTATATATATACAATGGAATACTATTCAGCCATTAAAAGGAAAGAAATCCTATCATTTGTGACAACATGGATGAACTTGGAAGACGTTATGTTAAGTGAAATAAGACAGGCACAGAAAGACACATACTTTATGATATCACTCATATGTGGAATCTAAAAATGTTGATTGTATAGAAGTAGAGAGTAGAAAGGTGGTTACCAGGAGCTGGCATGATTGGAGAGGGTGGGTGGGTTGGGGAGATGTTGGTCATAAATTTTTAGTTAAACAGGAGCAGTAAGTTAAGAGGTCTGTTGTACAACACGACTATAGTTAATAGTGCACTGTAATGATTCTTTTTTTTTTTTTTTTTTGAGACAGGGTCTTGCTCTGTTGCCCAGGCTGGAGTGCAGGGGTGCAATCATGGCTCAGCGCAGCCTTGACCTCCTGGGCTTGAGAAATCCTCCTACCTCAGCCATTTGGGTAGCTGGGTCCACAGGCATGTGCTACCACGCCTGGCTAATCTTTTGATCTTTTTGTAGAGGTGGCATCTCACTATGTTGCCCAGGCTGGTTTCAAACTCCTGGGCTCAAGCAATCCTCTCGCCTCACCCTCCCAAAGTACTGGGATTACAGGGCTGAGTCCCCATGCCCGGCCTTGTATTGAATTCTTGAAAATGCTCAGGAGTGGATATAGTGTTCCCACCACAAAAATGATAACTGTGTGAGGTATTGCATATATATTAGCTAGAGGTAGTCATTCCACACTGTAGATGTACTTTAAAACATCATGTTGTACCTGATAAATACATACAATTTATCCACCAATGTAAAAAAATATATATTAACACAGTGCTAAATTAAATCCAGCAATATATCAAAAGAATAATTCATTTAGGATTTATCCTAGGAATGCAAATATGAATCACCACTACAGCTCCATCAATGAAATTAATCACAATCAATAAATACTTTATTAACATTTATATAATTATTCAGGAAATATTTCTAAAATGTCTACAGTGAGGAGGGCACTATTCTAGGTATTGGGGAAAAAGTGTGAAAAAGATAGGCAAGATCTCAGGGAACTTGCATGAGATGAAAATTTAAAAATCCATATAAATCATCTTGATAGATGACAAAAAAAACCCTGAGCACCATATATGTGATATAATTCAATTCGAACTCAATACAATTCATTTTTCATAAAAAGCCACTAGCAAGAGAAGAAACATTCTCAGTGCAAAGATAGCCACGGATAGAGCAAACATCATTCCTAACATTTCTTTAAGCTCAGGAACTGAGAATGGATCTTGGTCTTACTCTTACTGTTTGTCTTTCCAGCGCAAGAAAAAGAACTAAGATGTGTGTGTGTATGTGTCTGTGTGTGTATAAAAGAAGGAGGTAGTCTCCATTTGTAGAAGAAAAGGTAGCTTAATCTAAAAACCCAGGAACATTAACTAATAAATGGTTAGAATGAATTAGAGGGTAAATGAAGTAGAAATAGAGTCCATTTGCAATATCCACAAGCTACTGAAGATACTAAGGGTTAAACTAAGTGCAAACTCATAGGATCTATATTGAGAAACTTGTAATGCTTTATTGAAGAATACAGGAAGATCTAAGAAATGCAAAGGATAGTATGCTCCTAGTTGAGAGGATTCAATAATGTGAAAATATCAAATTTCTTTGTGATTTATCTATAAATCAATATAAATTCTGATAAAAATAGCTATGGTATTTTTGGAAGTTGATCCACTGTGTAATCTTGAAGAGAAATAGAAATAATAAAAAACACATTGAAAACAAAATAAGCAACAAAATTAATGAAAAAACAATGAGGGGAAGGACTCACCTTATCAGATGTCACAATATTCTGTTGAGATATAATGAAAAAGGTGTGTTTATTGGTGCAGATATACACAATACAGAATAGAGACTCTAGAAACAGACATGGGCACATGTTAAAATTTAATATAACAGTGACATTTCAGATCATTAGAAAAATGTACATATGTAACTGCATAATATTGACCCACAAATACACTAAAAGACCAGTAAAACAAAATAGAAGACCCAGAAACAGATCCCTGTTCTTTGGTTATTTTTCTGACATCCCATGCTCCAACATCTTGTCTATCTTTCTTTGATATTCTATGTTTCCTGAAAGGCATCACCTGGGCTCTCTTTCTAATTGCATTTGGACAACGGATAATGGGAGACACTAGCAGGAGATGAAAGGGCAGGAGGAGAGAAAGGGCAGGGAATTTCTTCCTCCTTTCTTTCCCACTAGCTCTATTTCTCTGGCTGCAGCTGAATTTCTCTACAACTTTAGCTCCAATGGGAAGCTTCTCCTCCATGGTTCCAGTTCTCATTGGGTTCTGGTACTTGGTTCTTTCCCTTTTTTTAATAGCTTCCTGGTTTAAGTAATCCATGGATGCCTCAATATCCTTTATTTATTGCCTTGACTCTGCTCAGACCTCTGTAAATATCCTCACTTAAATCATCTGTGTGATTTCTCTTTTCTGCTGGGATCCTGTTTGATAATGTAGTTGGTATCAGAAATGAGGAAGACTCATTTCGGACCTAATAACTCATTTAGAGAACTTTTGCTTCTTGTCTCTGCAACTTGGGGCTCAACCGTTTAGAAAGCCTAGTTCTCAAGGAAGAAACTTTTCCAATGGTGATGGCTCAAATAATATGTAAGCTGAGACTACTCCTAAACTTTTTTAGTTCCTCATGACACTAAATCCTCAGACAGAGAAAGCAGAGCTTACTCTTCTTACCAGGGTGCTTGATCCTTTTACCAAGGGGACTGGGGTTGCTGTTATGTCATGAAAAAGAAACAGTATCTCTGAAACTCAGGTCATTCACTAGCACACCCCTTATTACAATGTTTGGTGATCTCCCTCAATGGAAAACTGTGGTAATGTATTTTTAATACCAGTACCATGCTGTTTCAGTGACTATGGCTTTATAGTGTAGTTTGAAGTCAGGTGATGTGATGCCTCTAGATTTGTTCTTTTTGCTTAGTCTTGCTTTGGCTATGTGGGCTCTTTTTGTTCCATATGAATTTTAGAATTGTTTTTTCTAGTTCTGTGAAGAATGATGGTGGTATTTTGATGGGAATTACATTGAATCTGTAGATTGCTTTTGGCAGTATGATCATTTTCACAATATTCATTCCACCCATCCATGAGCATGGGATGTATTTCCAATTGTTTGTGTCATTTGTGGTTTCTTTCAGCAGTGTTTTGTAGTCTTCCTTGTAGAGACCTTTCACCTCCTTGGTTAGGTATATTCCTAAGTATTTTATTTTATTGCAGTTATTGTATGGCATACTACTAAGTATTTTATTTTTATTTTTTGCTGCTATTGAGTTCTTGATTTTATTCTCAGCTTGGTCACTGTTGGTGTATAGCAGAGCTACTGATTTGTGTACATTAATTTTGTATCCTGAAACTTTGCTGAATTCATTTATCAGTTCTAGGAGCTTTTTGGATGAGTCCTTAGGGTATTTTAGGTATATGATCACATCACCAGCAAACAGTGATAGTTTGACTTTCTCTTTACTGATTTGGATGCCCTTTCTTTCTCTTGTCTGATTGCTCTGGCTAGGACTTCCAGTAGTACTATGTCAAATAGAAGCGGTGAGAGTGGGCATCCTTGTCTCCCATTCTCCAACTTTTCTCCATTCAGTATAATGTTGGCTTTGGATTTGTCATAGATGCCTTTCGTTATCTTAAGGTATGTCCCTTCTCTGCCAATTTTGCTGAGGGTTTTAATCATAAAGGGGTGCTTCATTTTGTCAAATGATTTTTCTATGTCTATTGATATGATCATGTGATTTTTGTTTTAAATTCTGTTTATGTGGTGTATCACATTTATTGATATGCAGATCTTAAACCATCCCTGCATCCCTGGTATGGAACCAAATTGATCATGGTGGATTATCTTTTTGATAGGCTATTGAACTCATTTAGCTAGTATTTTGTTAAGAATTTTTGCATCTATAGTCATCAGGGATATTGGTCTGTAGTTTTCTTTTTTGTTTTGTCCTTTATGGGTTTTGGTGATACTGGTTTCATAGAATGAGTGATACTGGCTTCGTAGTATGATTTAAGGAGGGCACTATTTTCTAACTTGTGGAATAGTGTCAATAGGATTGGTACCAATTCTTCTCATTTTAAATATCTGATAGAATTCAGCTGTGAATCCATCTGGTCCTGGACTTTTTGTTGCTGTTGGTAATTTGTAAAATTACCATACAAATTACCGCTTCAATCTCACTGCTTGTTATTCATCTGTTCAGAGTTTCTATTTCTTCCTGGCTTAATCTAGGAGGGTTGCTTCTTTCCAAGAATTTATCCATCTCCTCTAGGTTTTCTCATTTATGCACATAAAGGCATTCATGGTAGCCTTGAATTATCTTTTGTATTTCTGCGGTATCAGTAGTAATATCTCCCATATAATTTCTAATTGAGCTTATTTGGACCCTCTCTCTTCTTTTCTTGGCTAGTCTTGCTAATGGTCTATCAATTTTATTTATCTTTTTAAAGAACAAGCTTTTTGTTTCATTTACCTTTTGGATATTTTTGTTTCAATTTTATTTAGTTCTGCTCTGATCTTTATTTCTTTTCTTCTGCTGGGTTTGGGTTTTGTTTGTTCTTGTTTCTCTAGTTCCTTGAGGTGTGACCTTAGATTGTCTATTCGTGCTCTTTCAGAGTTTTGGATGTAGGCATTTAAGGCTATGAACTTTACTCTTAGCACTGCCTTTGCTGTATCCCAGAGGTTTTGATAGGTTGTATTACTATTATCATTCGGTTCAAATAATTTTTTAATTTCTATTTTGATTTCATCGTTGACCCAATAATCATTCAGGAGCAGGTTACTTAATTTCCATGTATTTGCATGGTTTGGGGGTTCTTTTTGGAGTTGATTACCAATTTTAGTCGACTGTGATCTGAGAAAATATTTGATATAATTTCAATTTTCTTAAATTTAATAAGACTTGTTTTGTGCCCATCATATGATCTCTCTTTGAGAATGTTCCATGTGCTGATTAATAGAATGTAAATTCTGCAGTTGTTGGGTAGAATGTTCTGTACATAACTGTTAAGTCCATTTGTTCTAGGGTATAGTTTAAATCCATTTTTTTTTGTTGACTTTCTATCTTGATGACCTGCCTAGTGTTGTCAGTGGAGTATTAAAGTCCCCCACTATTATTGTGTTGCTGTCTATCTCCTTTCTTAGGTCTAGTAGTAATTGTTTTGTAAATTTGGGAGCTCCAGTGTTAGGTGCATATATATTTAGGATTGTGATATTTTCCTATTGGACAAGTCCTTTTACCCTCTTTGTATAATGTCCCACTTTGTCTTTTTTAACTGCTGTTTCCTTAAAGTTTGTTTCATCTGATGTAAGTCTAGCTACTCCTGCTCACTTTTAGAGTCCATTTGCATGGAATATCTTTTTCTACCCCTTTACCTTAAGTTTATGTGAGTCCTTATGTGTCAGGTGAGTCTCTTGAAGACAGCAGATCATTGGTTGGTGAATTCTTATCCATTCTGCCATTCTGTATCTTTTAAGTGGAGCATTTAGGCCCTTTACATTCAATGTTAGTATTGAGATATGAGGTACTATTTTATTCATCATGCTATTTGTTGCCTGAATACCTTGGTTTTTTATTTTATGCTATTTTTTCTGTTTTTTATACAGTGTCACTCTCATGATATGAATACCTTTTTTTTTAAATAGGCACATAAACCAATGGAACAGAATAGAGAACCCAGAAATAAACCCAAATATTACAGCCAACTGATCCTCAAGAAAGCAAACAAAAACATGAAGTGGGGAAAGGACAGCCTATTTAACAAATGGTGCTAGGATAATTAGCAAGCCACATGCATAAAAATGAAACTTGATCCTCATCTCTCACCTTATACAAAAATCAACTCAAGATGGATCAAGGAACTTAAATCTAAGACCTGAAACCATAAGAATCCTAGAAGATAACATCGGAAAAACTCTTCTAGACATTGGCTTAGGCAAAGACTTCATGACTAAGAACCCAAAAGCAAATGTAACAAAAACAAAGATAAGTAGATGGGACTTAATTAAACTAAAAAGCTTCTGCACAGCAAAAGAAACAATCAGCAGAGTAAACAGACAACTCACAGAGTGGAAGAAAATCTTCAAAATCTGTACTTTCAACAAAGGACTAACATCCAGAATCTACAAGTAACTCAAACACATTAGCAAGAAAAAAACAAACAATTTCATCAAAAAGCAGGTTAAGGGCATGAATAGACAAGTCTCAAAAGAAGATATACAAATGGCCAACAATCATGAAATAAATGCTCAGCATCACTAATGATCAGGGAAATGCAAACCAAAACCACAATGCAATACCACCTTACTTTTGCAAGAATAGCTATAATCAAAAAATTAAAAAAAAATAGATGTTGGCATGGATATGGTGAAAGGGGAACACTTTTACACTGCTGCTGAGAATGTAAGCTAGTCCAATCAGTGTGAAAAGGAGGGTGGAGATTCTTTAAAGAGCTAAAAGTAGAACTACCATTTGATCCAGCAATCCCATTACTGGCTATCTACTCAGAGGAATAGAAGTCATTACACAAAAAAGATACTTGCACACAGATGTTTATAGCAGCACAATTCGCAATTGCAAAAATATGGAACCAACCCAAATGTCCATTAATCAATGAGTGGTTAAAGAAATTGTGATTAGGGCTGGGGGCAGTGGCTCACGCCTGTAATCCCAGCACTTTGGGAGGCTGAGGGGGTGGATCACTTGAGATCAGTAGTTCAAGACCAGCCTGGCCAACCTGGTGAAACCCTGTCTCTACTAAAAATACAAAAAATTAGCTAGGTGTGGTGGTTGCCTGTAATCCCAGCTACTCTGGAGGCTGAGGCAGGAGAATCACTTGAACCCGGGAGATGGAGGTTGCAGTGAGCCAACATCATGCCATTGTACTCCAGCCTGGGCAACAAGAGTGAAACTCTGTCTCAAAAAAAAAAAAAAGAAAAAAAAGAAATTGTGATTATATATATATATGTATATATATATATACCATGGAATACTACTCAGCCA